>NC_000003.12:127947998-128099513 GCF_000001405.40 Homo sapiens
TTCCATGACATCTTATAAAGAAGTGGAAGAATGGTTATCATACCTGTTATGTTTTAGACACATTTCTTTTTGTATATTTGTTTTATAATTTTACAAAGGGAAAAAGGAAAAGAATGGAACCTCAAAGAGGTTAAGTACCTTATTCAAACTGATGGTTACTAAGTAGCATAGCAGTAATCGAAGCCAGTTATCTGACAACAAAACTTTTACTGTGCGTTCCTTCCTGACCTCAAGATCATAGACTTTTGTCCTGCTGTTCCACTGAGGCCACTTCAGTGCCATCCTAAGCAGTTAGCAGAGGCCTTGGGGAGTCCCTAGTTCTGTCTTTACCTTGAGGAAGCTGAGGGCCAGTAGCCCTGCTGAGTTATATATTGGTTGATGCTGGCCCCGTACTCTCTGGTACTCTTGCCTTCAGGATTTGGACTTCAGAATTACAGTGTTTCCTTATCTCTTGCCAAAGATCATAAACTAGACCCTCCCCCATGGGGTGGCTTAGGGAAACTGGTTCACATTATGTAAGCATATCATTCTGTGATGTTTTTCCATAACTGGAAGAGTGGGATAAAGCACAGACAAACCCTAGTCAAGATCAGCATCTCGTCTGTAAATGCTCATTTTGCAAAGGGGCCTTTCAAAGTACAGATGGCCCTCATGGTGGCAGTGAGAATCCCTGGTGTACCGGGAAAGCCTCCAGCTCTGGGCTAGGCTCCTGAGCCCATCTACAAAGTATCTTCTTCCTCCCAGCAAGCAGGTGGACATTCAGTCACGTTTGTTAGATCCATTTACCTAAGATTATCTTATGAAATAGTTTGTACCCAAATTAGGATTTAATAGCAAAATCATCACAAAACAAGCAAAGACAGTGAAAGGGGAGGAAAGAGGGAACTAACTTATCAGCTGTAAAACTGACTAGAAATTTTCCTGCATTCAACCACTCTAGCTTAATACCTGTCTGGCATATAATAAGTGCTCAATAAATATTTCTGACAGAACACTAATGGGGTAAATTTTCCCTTCCTTGCCTGCAACCATAATTATATGAATATAATGGACACAGTTGCTGCATAGGTTAACCTCAAGAAAGCTGGCAGGGAAGACACACCAAACAGAAAGAATTCCATGCGATGATTGCTACTTACAGAGGCCTATACAAATCTAGGGGTTTGGAAAAGATGTCACAGAGAGATTGACTCTGAGCTTACTTCAAGAAGTTGGGGTTTGCCCAACAGAGCAGCACAAGGAGAGAATTCTTGGTCGTTAACATACCAATTGCATTTCATGTTACCTGACGGTAGTTTTGAGTGTCAGGAACACCAGCTGCACAATGAAACAGTAGCAGGAGGGGAACCTGGAGAGCTAGACAAGAGCCAGCCCACAGAGAACTTCAAATGCCATGCTTTGGAATTCATAATTTATCTCTAAATGAGGGAGAGCCATTGAAGGATTTCAACAGTAAAGTAATAAAAGATTAGTGCTTATTGAAAGGACCAGACACCTCAATTCTACCTGCACACACCTTCAAGAGACTAAAAGGGATTGTCCTAGTTGGAATTATTAAGTGTGGGGACTATGATTGTCCTAGAATTCACTCACTGCCCCAGGTATTTGCCCTAAATATAGCTCTTGAGTGGACAGATGGTCAAGAACTCTGTCTCTGGTATCCTGAATTAACTGGCTCTGTAAGACCCTGTCACAAAATCCAAGTTGCGAAACAGAATGGATGAAATTTTGAAGCTGAAGTAGCTAGGTCTTGAAATTCCTGCTTTCTAGAGAGTAAGGGAGATGAGGCTGCTGCTCTTCTCTATTCCTACATTTAGTCCCTGTTTTGCGGCTGTGTAAGCCAGGTGGTGAGCCAGAGAAGGGGAAGGAGTTGGAAACTGAAGGGGAAGGAGCTGGAAATCAAATTAGCTAATTTTGACCTCTGACTTAATAGCATTTTATAAATAGTTTTACAGGGTAATCACTAAATTATGACTTGGATGAAGGGTACATTCTTGTCTGCATTTTCTTTGTTCCCTCTCAGAGTATGAGAATTTAAGAGTTGGCTTTATAGTTTGACCCACTGGGTTTGAATAAGAATGTAATGTGACTTTTATTACTTTTTCAGTTTTTGAATTTTGTTCTTGAGTAATTTAACTTGACACAGTAATATTTGCAATATACATAAAAAATAAAATTACAAAACATGCCTTTGAGCTACAAAAGATGTAAAGGGAGGAAGAAAACACACATGCAGGGGAAAGAAGATATAGCATAGAAATTCAGAATTATCTCAGGGAGGGAAGTGGGAAGAAGGAGATAGAAGGGCCCTAGGCTAACGGAGAGGAACAAACATCCAGAGATTAATGGACGAAAATAGTTCTTAGGAACTAGATGAGTGAAAACAAGCAAAGTTTGGCCTCTCAGAATTGATGGGAGAAATAATTCAGTGGAAAGTAAGCCTTTTTAAATAATAGGTAAAATTCAATTAAGTAACATTGATGTCAAATAGACTAATAATGTCCATTGAAGAGATACTGAATTTTTTTTATCATACTGTGATTTGACTCAACTAATACTTTGTTGCAGCAAAGAATACATCAAATATTACGCTGGGTGCTAAGGACCCAGCGATGAAAGATGCGCTCTATGCCCAGAAGGAACTCAGGAACTAGGGCAAGACAGATCAACTATGCATATAGTTAAGTGCACATAGTGAAGGATCAGCTAACTCACTCCACAGGGAGGAATTAGTCAAATAAAGAAAAATGAGGCCGGGCACGGTGACTCAATCCTGTAATCCCAGCACTTTGGAAGGCTGAGGCAGGTGGATCACCTGAGGTCAGGAGTTCGAGACCAGCCTGGCCAGCATGGTGAAACCCTGTCTCTACTAAAAATACAAAAAGCCAGGTGTGGTGGCAGGTGCCTATAGTCCCAGCTACTCAGGAGGCTGAGGCAGGAGAATCACTTGAACATGGGAGGCGGAGGTTGCAGTGAGCCAAGATCGCACCATGCACTCTAACCTGGGCAACGAGCAAAACTCCATCTCAGAAAGAAAAGAAAAATGAGAAAGTTGTTTGTACTTTACACCAGGAACAACATATATCAAAGCATGGTAGAGAAAGAGTAGGTTGAGTTACTTTAACGTTTTAATGTCTTCATTCTCTAGTATTCATGAATGAATCTTAGTCTATTTTTTGATTAAATGTCAATTACTGCTAAGAGATAAGACCACACTCAGTATATGAAACCACGAAAGCTGAATTTATTGATTACTTAGTGTAGGAATGGTTATTTGGTCAGAGATATTCTCATTGAACAAAGCAAACTGATGATTTTATATAGGATTGTGGGCAGGAGTTGAGTTTGGTTTAATGTTGGTTACAAAGATGAGAGTGGATTGCTGTTCCTCAGAAGTGTGGATTATGTTTGTTCATTGCTGAGGCAGGAAGGGGTCAGGTCAGCCTTAGAAGAGGACTCAGTGGAGTGAGTCAGCCTCTGATTGGCTGCCTTCCACAGTGTGAGGCTGTCTCTGACTGGTTGATTCCAGAGTCATGGTCACTGAAGCAAGTTGTCATTGATTGATTAATCAGGATGAAAACCACTTCTGATGTTGACTTGTCATGGCTCGGGAACAATTAGTCTTTTCTCAGGAGCATGGGACTTTTCTGTATCCCACCCCTCCCTTTCTCATCTTCAAGCAGCAAGACAGACCATCAGGGATTGTCCCAATATTCATCACCATTGTTAATTTTGTCTTTAAATTATTCGTTGAAACATTTCTTAGGACAGTGGCTCTGTAGATTTAAGACTCTGGATAAACACATCAGACTGTGCAACAAAGTATAACAAAGGTATTGCAAGAAGGGATTAGAGGGCAGTATAAAGGCATGATCTAGATTTTCCAAGGTCTGACATACTCTTAAGTAGATAAGCTACCTTGACTGTTTGAGTTCTCAGTAGTATAAACACTGTCTTCCTGGCTTTGTTGGAAAATGAAAGATTCTATATAGTTACATTTTCCCAAGAATTCATGCCAGTACCTTTAAGTGGCTAAATCTGATTACATTTTTAACAAGGAAAAAAGTATCCCAAGTTATCACACTCTTCTTTGCCTTGTGAAAGAGTTCTTTGAAGGAAAATAATATTTTTTTGAAGAAGTACTAAATTCTAGGTGATTTCATATATTGTCTCAATTCTCACAATATCCTACAAAAGTAAATTCTTTATTTTTATTACACAAATATTGTGACTAAATCCAGGGTTCAAACACGGATCTGTCCAATTTTAAAGTTAAAATAACTTTTTAAAATATCTCAGTCATTAAGAGCATCAAAAATTGTGCTTCTCTATATGTGAGTGATGTCCATTGGCCATTGAGTAATGTACTACTGTATTTGCTCCCTAAACTAGAAGGCCACAAATTACAGGGTTTCATGGGTTTTTTTCCTCTCCTTCCCACTGCTGTTGGTTACCATTTCTTTTCTTGTTGCTCTCTCCCTGTTATGTTACCAGATTGTACATACAAGATTATGCATCAATCATACATATAAATAGATTTTACATACAAGACTATATATGCAGGCAATTGTACATATGTTTAGATTACACATACAGTTAGGCCATTAGACCTTGTGTCATTAACAATGTCTCCAGTTTTTTCAGAATAAAATTCAAGGTCTTTTATCACAGCACCAATACTCAGACACTTGTTTTACATTGCTCAGGGTTTTCACTTGTGCTCTGGGCACTAGCAATCGTCTGACTTCCTGTTAAATGAGGAGTTACTGTAACAGGCAGCATCTAACCACCACAGGGAAAGATTTAGGCAAGCAGGATAATCGGAATCATTTGGTTAATGGCCCTTGCCTTTACCTTATTACATTTTTTATAAATTTTCTGAGTAAATCTCATGTGTACAAAGGTTTCCCAGGTGTATTCTTTAACAGAAATAAGCCACAGAAAGGAAAGGTCCTTCTGCAGACCAATCTTATCTCTGCAACTTAATAGCACCATGTGATTTTGAGCAAGTTGCTGAATTTTGCTAAATCTGTTTTCTTTATTCATAAAATAAGGATGATAATAATACATTATTAACTCATGCAGTTGTTGCAAAGCTTAAGAGAGTATTATGCCAAATGCTGAACACTGTGCTTGGCATATGAGAAGTGCTCAATAGATGAGAGTTATAACAATCATTATTGCTTATAGTAAGTGGCAAAGAGTCCACTGTGCTTTAGTGTCCTAATAATGTTCAGCCCGTCATCTTATTGTTAATGCCCTGCCAGGCCCAAATGAGGAGGCATACTGAGATGAGGTCATTCTGTCCTCATGCGTTGGGAGTCAAAGGACTGAGTCTTTCTACTTTCTTCATTTCCTCCTATTGTAAACATGCGCTAATGACATACTTACTGCACATTCACACAGCCTGCTTTTCTGTATGGAGCCAGGTACACATTTTCATGTAAGGAACTCTTTGAAAATATTGTCCAGAATGTACTCTTCTAATAGGAATTAAAGATGAAAACATTGTATTACCGGACATTGTGGCTAGCACTGACCCTGGAGGTTTGCTTTGAGTTGTAAAGATTTTAGAATATGGACTTCAGTTAAAACCTATGCTGAATTTTTCTCGTGTAAATGTTTGTCTTTAAAAAGTGTGTTGTCACAGATACCATGAATAATTTGAATTTAGATGAAAACAGCTTCTGGAATTATGGCAAACTAGCCAAGGGGCATATTAGTCATATACTGGATAGTTTTTCCTGGAAATCTATAAATTGCCTTCTTAACATAAAAATAAAGGAATAGATATGGCCAGATTGCTCAAGTGACTCCATTGCTCATGTGGTTACATGTGCATTTTGTCAGCTTTGCCACACTGTAATTGGCTCTTCTGTTGGATAACTTCCTAGAAAGCCTAAAATAATTTAGTCTATATAAGTCTTATGAGTCAATGATACCCTAAGTGGAAACACAGGTATTTAAAACCAGCCAGCTTTCCTTTTGACTTTTTTTTCCTGAGGCCCTTCTCAGGAACGTAACTATTTTTGTTAGGAAGTGCAGAAAGGAGTGGTCTGTTGTTTAATGACAGAACCACTGACATGCAGGAGGAGACCAAAGGGAAGGTGCCTTAGTTCTAAGGAAAAATCTTTTGTCATTTGTACAGTGAAAGCTCATTATAAGAGCTAGTTAAGCTTCTTTAATCTAAAATACATCCTAATTGCCTAAAAAGGTAGTCCAGAAATTTTAGGTTAATATATCTTATTGCTGTAGAAAATATTAATGCCTTGTTTTCAAGGTTTTAAATCCATTTTATGAATAATAAAGTAGAAAATGAATCAAATACAGACTCCTATTAGTAAAATTTGGGGGAAGGTAGAACATTCTGGGTTCAACCTCACTGAAATCTCATTATGAGTCCTTGGTGAATGCTTCTGTTATAAAATACTGATTTAAATATGGTACCAGGGGCTGTCTCTTAGAAAAGAAGTTTGCATGTAAGATAAACTGGAAAGCATTTTAGATCTCATACTATTAGTTATGCTCTTGAATAAATTATGCTTCCTTCTGAAATGAAAATGTGTATTCATGAATATGCTTTGGATTTCCATCAAGTGTTCTTAAAATGTCAAATTGCGTTCAAAAGTTGCTTCAGCTTGATGGGTCAGGCAAAATCAAATATAGAAAGTGAGGCCAGAATCTATTTATGGAGGCAGTAGACCTTTCACACGTGGCCCCAGCCTGCCCCTGCAGCCTCAGCTCCTCCTGCCACTCCTCCACCCCACAAAGCCTAGCGCCAGCCACAGGGACTGGGGGTCACTTCCTGAACATGCTTTCCTCCTGTGCCTTTGTTTACCCTGTTCCCTTTGCGTGTAGGGCCTAACTCAACATCCTCAAAATCTGGCAAAAATCCCATCTCCTTGTAGTGGTTTATGTAATCCTTTGGTCAGAACGAAGAGCATGCTGCTTTGCCAGTCGCTGCCCTTGTCACACTATACTCAGACTGTCTAAGGCACAAGACGTTGTTTTACTCATCTCTGTGTGTCCTCTGAAAGCCAGCCCAGGGCCTGGCTTTACGTTATAGATGCTCAGTAAGTATTTGTTTACTGAATTGCATTTTCACATCTCTGTAACCTGTCCTATTCTTCTATCATGTAAAATGCCACAGAAATTATCAGAGTTTTACAGGTCTTATGGAGAATGTTTTGAAATAGGGACTTTTCATTTCCCTGTCTAGGGAGACAGTTAATGTTGAGTTTTCCCACATAGCTAATGTCCCAAACTATCAATGTTTTCTCCAGGAAACCATTTTGTGCCTCATTGGTTTACTGAAAACATAACAGCACTGTCCAAGTCTGACTCTCAGCTTGAATGCCATTAAAGAGTAATGAAGGGAAAAGTTACATAAAAGGTTCAAATTATTACAGTAACTGCATTTCAAAGATAATTTTAATGGTGAGTTAGTTTGTGAAATGAGAAGACCAAGCTTTATTGTGGTAAGATTTTACCCTTTTCTTTTGATAAAATTCTAAGCAATTTTTGAAAAGTGTAAGTCTCAAATTACCTAGGTTGCCTACTAAAACGGCAGATTCCTGGCCCTCACTATTGGCAGATTCAGAGTCAGTGAGTCTAAAATGAAACCTAGGAATCTGAATTGTAGGAAATATAGAGGCAATTCTGGCGTGAAAAAAATCACAGGATTGCACTTCGAAAAACACAGATGTTCTGAGGAAAGTGGAAAGGTAATATCATATTAATGGACATATTATATGCTCAAAATATTTGCTAAGCATATGTTACATAAGCCAGGCCCTGGGCTGGCTTTTAGAAGAGATACAGATGAATAAGGCAATATCTCTTCCTCTAAACAGCATCATTGTGTACTTGAATATTCTAGGAAGTTGGATAAAGTTACTTGCTCAAAGTGTCCTGGCACTGATAAGCCAGAATAGGCTGTCAGTTATGTTCTGCTCTAATTGCAAGAGTGTTCTGGGCTTAGATATACATTTCATACATTCATGATGAACAAGGAAAGAAATGCTTTACCATGGCCAAAGAAGTCAGACAAGATATTCCTCATGCCTCCTTGTTCTGAAAAAAGACTTGGATTTAGAGATTCAGTAGCTCTGAGCTGGAGTGAATGGCTCATTATGTTTTTGCTATAAGTATCTATAAAATATATTTCCAGTTAATCATATGAGGGGTTTTAAACCTTTATTATCTGGCACCCTCAACAAATAACTCAGAAATAAGTACTCTAAAAGACCAAAGTTTACCTGTGGCTCCCAAATTGCAACTTAGCTATAGTAATTTTTATCATTGATATCCCACAAGTTCACAGGGAGTTAGCATTCTATATATTATTGTGACAGTGAGTTAAAAATTACACTTTATTCCATCAGTGTGTAATTATAATCCTGTATTATATATGTTTTCATATTTGTCCTTTATTTCCCAGCAGACTCTGAGTGTCTTATGGACAAAAAAAAAAAAAAATCCTCAAACTTGTTATTCTATGACACCCAGTACAAACATGAGTGGGTATCCAAAATATACTTTTAGATTGCTTAAATTAACTACAAGTTTAAAATGTGTTTGATTCTGAAATTAGAATGTTTAGAAGCTTCTACAGTGTGAAAGCCCCACAGGACAGTACTCATGTTACTGCGCGTGGATGAGAAATATCCTAGGAGAATGCTGTCTCAGGCTCTGATCTACTAGTGTGTGTCTGCAGGAAAGCTTAATGTTACAGAGGCAAAGAGTTGTACAACTATACAATCTGTGCTTTGCTTTTATGAAAAAGAGGTAAATTGTTAAAGAAAAAGAAAACATGCCAATAACAAGGATTTAAGAAAGCAAATCTTAGGCATGTCTTTGTGCAGCTTAATGTGTAGAACTGTCTATATCCATGGCATATTATAAACAGCAGATCATTTTGTTACTCCTGAATCCTTAAGAAAATGTTCCACTATATTTGGTATCTTCAGTTCACTAAGGCAGAGAAGAACGTAATACATATTTTAAAACAGTATAAAGAGTTGAAATGGAAAATTTTTGTGCTTTAAAGAGGAAAATATCGATTACCAAAAAACTGTCATTTGGAGTAATATGTACTATCTTTCTTCCTTTATCCTAACTCATACATGTGATCAATATTTTTATCACTCCCTTCCTCTGCCATTTCTTGGGTAAATATGGAAATGAGCACAAACTATCATTTTCTGTAAATCATTTCACTTAGACACAAGATAAATATGCCAAAGACTTATTATAATATTTTTTCTTTAATATTTATTTCACAAATACTGTCAAGCATCCTTTAGAAGATATTGTGCTTAGCACCTCAGGGAAGATAAAGATGTAGACCTTGCCTTCAAGGACTTATAAAATTTTGTGTCTCTTTCATTTCTAAGCTGTGGAATAGGTTTGACTAATAGCTCTTTGCAGGACCACTTCATAGAAGTACTAGTATTAGGCAGGCCAATCTGGGGGAAAAGATGAGCCCAACAACAGACAGCAGTCATTTTTCTCAGGATCTGAGATTAGATTCCTATATTCTTAAGAAGATGACTTTTATAATCAGCCAACTTTTAGCTCTTTGGATTTAGGACTTGCCATATTCTGAAAAGCCAGTTATCACTTTCTGTTTTGACCGCTCCCCCAACCGCCACCAAAAAAAAAAGTATAAGAAAAAAAGATACCTAGGACATGAGTAAGGAGCTGACCCACCCATGCATTCTGTTCAGTGTTTGTGTCTTCACTGTCCGTACCCAGTGTAGAAAGTGTTGGGGATACAGATGTGATTAGACATCTGCCCTCAAGGGACTTACAGTCTCATCTAACAAGGCAACATATAGGGAGATAAATTAGAGCAATGTATTTTCATAGGAACCTTGATTTCTGTTCAGGACAGTGGAAGCCTAAAAAGAGGGAATGGCCAATTCTGTGTAGAGACATGAAAGGCTTTGTGAGAGGTTGAAGGTGGAGCTGAGCCTTGAAAGAGGAGTAGGGGTTTGCCAAGTTGAGGAGGAGAAGAGGCCATTCTAGGCGGAGAGATCAGCCCAAGCCTAGGCCTAGAGACAAACAGCCTCCCTTATTTGGAGAATGGTTGAGTGTTCTGGTGCCTCAGGGGCAGGGGCGGTGCAGGAGGGAGAAGGGCAGACCAGGCATGTGAGGAGTTAGGAGCAGCTGGGTCACCAAGACTTGGTGTCTGTAGGGGAGGGGATGGGTATGGGAGGCACTGAGGAGGTACAGTCAGCAGAGTCGGTGACTGCTGAGAGGAGGGCTGTGGTGACATTCATCTGCAGCTGGCACCTCTAGCCTGCTGTGGCATCTATGGGCCATCCCCTAAGCTCACTCCCACCCACCACGTCCAGGCTCTCCACTCTGTGCTCTCCCCTTACTGGCCCAGGCTTTAGACCTGCTGGGACCCCTGCAGGACAGACTGGTGGTAAGATGGAGAAGAGACAAGGAAAAGATGGGCCCAGGGTTTGAAAGGCCCAGACTCGACTGAAAATCCACTAAGACCCAGTGCTGGGTTGACACAAAAGCCCGGGTATCACTCAGGATCAGATGGGACAGCATTGTGTAATTGCAGCTTATTTGGCACTCAGGGCCCAGCTCCAGAACGTTCTATTAAACCAGCTATATGTCCACTCGGAAGTTATCAGATAATTCCAACACTTGATTTTTCCCTCCAAAATGAAGCAAAATCAAGCTGTAACAAATGGAACTTGGTCTTCCCCTTGAAGCTCTTTTATTTGATTTTCATAGTCATCTGTGTGGGGTAGCAAACAAAAAGCAGACAGATGATTGTGTTTTCCTGGCCTGGCAAGAAAAAGCTGGTCAAGGGCTATGAAGGCCAGCAGATAGAGAGAATGGAGAATGGCCACAGTACATGGGGGCCCAGCAGCCCTGTTCTGTGAGCCCAGGCACCCTATTGATGAGCACTGCACAGTATCAACCAGAATCCGGTAGAAGGCAGGTAAGCAGCTGTCAGCCTTGTACTGAAGGGCTTCATTCTGAAAATACCCAAGAGCCTCCTGTGTTAGACTTTAGAAAGTGGCAAGAAGCTAGGTTCATGTTTTCTAGGGTTTTAGGCACCAAAGCTAGAATTCTGATACGAGGTTGGAAAAAAATCAGAGAGCTGACAACTTGTGTGAGAATGAAACAAATCATCACAAGCATTATATTAGCAGTGAATAGATCATGTCTGACATGTGAGTCAGAAAGTAGCCCATCCACTCAGATATATGGGCCAGTTTAACTCCTAGAAGCCTATGCATTGCAAAATCCTTTTCTATTGTTAGGTCCACCAACAGCTCCTACCTCTCTCAAACATTTATGACCAAATGAGTTACTCTAAGTCATGTCAGGGAGCTTTTCCCTCTGCCTGAAGCCTGAGAGGAAGGCTCTGCCCATTCCTCAGCCCTTTGGCCTTCTGAATCTCTCTATCCAACCCCGGAAGAAACTATTAAGGACAATTTGACCATACAGTTAGTAAACCATCAATTATAGACATAGCAAATAATTAAATTGAGAGTAATCAAAGGTAGGATTTCAGCAACTTTAATAAACACCGGTTACTCATGAAACATCCTAGAACATGAAAGAGAATGAGAGTTAACATTTGGGTGCCTCCTGCATGCTAGCCATTTTGTTTACACACCGTGCATGAGAATAGGTATTAAAGAAAAATTCCTGTGGCAATACTTGTGAATAGGTATACAACAAATGGGAGTTCCTCCTTACCCTTCTCCACCCTTACATGGTTGCCTAATAAGTGAATCTTTGCAACAGGTTATGGAATTGCTGTCATTATCCTTAATTTACTGATGAGAAAAGGCTGAGATAAATTAAATTGACCAACTTTGTCTAGCTAGTAAATGGTGACACAGGGTAGGGACCAGGGTCTGAGTGTTTCCAAAGTCCACATGCTTTTTCCAAGGCACGTGGGTGCCGACAATAGTAAATATATGTACATTTTTCCCCTAAGACTGGTTTAGCACGACAGGCAACTTTGGAAGCTTATCTGAAGGATTACAAACCCCCACCTCCTGTTCTGGATCAAACCCAGGGGAAAATAGAATAAGCCTGCCACCTTGAGGTGACCCTGCAGGCAGAGGACATTGGGAGCAAGCACCACTGCATTCAAGGGCAACTTGGGCAGCGAGTACCACTCCCCTCTGCTTCAGCCAGCTCCCTGCCAGGCTTTGTGTGGGAGGAGAGGTTCACTCCTGCACCCCACAGAGAGGAGAGAATCTAAAATAGCCACACACACAAGAAGGAGGGAGTCTTTATAGAAATGATAAAGAAGAGAGGCAGGCATTGTCCTCTTCTATAATTTCCCCCTTTCCACTACGCACACACCAAAAAATATAAATAAATAAAAACCAGGGTATATATTTTGCATTTGAGGTCCATTTGGATATGACCTGCAAATATAATTTCTATTCATTTGTCTGTTTTTGAATAAAGAAAAGTCATGCTCAGAGGTTCGTATAAATTAAAGATATGGAGGTATCTCATTGAAATTCTACAGATGTACTGATCCTACCCCAAGACACCTCTCATCAAAAGATTTCTCTTGTAGTGCTGGTGCTGACTTATTAATGAAGATCATGCTTTCATTTGATTATTTACCTAATCAGGATTCACCTTCAGTTTAAGCTCATTAAGTCTGCTGCTAATAGAGTGTACTTGATGGTGGAATTACATCCAAGTGAGACAGAGAATGTGTTCAGGCATTAATGGTCAGAAACAAAGACAGAGCACGCTGTAAGCTCATGTCACTCCTTGAGTGGAGCGTGTGAACTGCCTGCCAACCAAATAGAAAGGGCTAGTTTTGTAGAGTTAGGGCTGAACATTATAATTAAATACACTTGGTAACAGAGCATCAAAAGTGACAACACTAATTATTGCAAAAATCAAGAGAATAATACCCATTCTGTATATGCGTCATGTTGGGGAAGTCTTCTAATGGGCTTTTATGTGAAATTTGTGAGCTGGATTCAGGATGCTGGTTGCTCCGTGTGCCCTAACCCAACTCCAGTGACTCGCATTTGACCTCTTTGCTTCCACTTGCTGGTCTTCTGGAGGAGCTGTAATACAAACCAGCCTAGTAACATTTCTCCTGGATCTCACAAAAACAGACAACTAGATCATCTTACTCTTACCTTATGGGTGATTGCTTGTTTCAACTCCTATGGTTAAATCCTCCTCTTTAAGTCCTTCTTGCCCTACAAATAGGAAACTCCACTTTTTGTTAGGCTGAGAAAGCTCTCGCTACCACAGTGCCACATTGAAAGAGGGCCCAGGAACAGCAGAGCTGTGCCGTTAACCGAGGCCAGTGTGTCCCCTCCTTGGAAACGCTGCAGCTCAAACTTGGCACTGTAATGGGCTAAATTATTTATCCAGTCGGATAAGAGAGAAGGCAGCTAAAAGCCTCCTGAGTTAGTTTATAGCCTCAGTCCCTGGATTCAAACTGAGACAGGAAACAGGTCAGTTTATATCAGCAAAGAGAAAAAAAGACTTTTCCTTCAAAGTGCCCTTCCATCAGCTTTTATGCCTGGCATAAGCCCCAACCATGGTGAAAATAAGCTGTTCCCATCAATCTTCTTGGATTCATTGAGTACTGTGTGGCAGGCCCTGTGATATAAAAGATGCAGAATAGTGGCCTTTGGCCCCAGTAGCACACTCACTTGGACAGGCAGGGAAAGCACATGCAAAATTAAACTTCTCATTCTTCATTCCAACACACAACGTGTCAGGCACTGGGCTAGGTACTAGGGATGCAATATGGAAAACGACAGGCCAGTGAGCAAGATAGGAAAGCAGGTGATGGTGAAAATACCACCTGACTGATGCAGTGATAGGCAAAGGGTATAAAATGACACTGAAAGAAGACAGGCCAGGAAACACATGAGATTAATTTCTCAGTATGTGATACATATAGTAAAAGCCATGAGATCAAAGCAGAGTTCTTAATTTTGGTTTTGAGATCGCTGTCAACAACATACTCCAGTATCAGTCACCACCCAACATATGCAGTTTGCACAGTGACTCTTCCAGGACCTCTCTATGTGAAGGAGAGCTGGTTTACCTGAGGCCAGTGCTTTACAGGCTTTTTGATTAGTCACACAGACCAGGCTGTGAGTCTGGATAGAATGAGGTCATCGATGAGAGGCGTGTCTGCAAATACAGGCATGTCCCTCCTTCCGGGGGGTTTACCTCAGTCTCAGGAGCCATCCTTCAGATCAGGAAATATGGCCCTGACCTTGATGACCTTCCAGTGTGGACTTGGGAGGGGAAAATAAAAGCAGTGCATAGAAATGTGTTTCTTGTAACAGTGGATAGGAAATTTGTATACAATTATTTTTCCAATGGAGAGTTGTACTTAAAGTCATGATTCTCTAAGTGTTATTTATATTCCTTGTTACAGTCCCTGGACTTCTAAATCTCACTTTTATCTCTTTAAGACACCTGTCTTGATGTCCTCTACTTTATTTATTTGCAAACACGGCCCTTTCCATCCTATTAATTTCTTAACAGCAGGAAACATGTTTTATGCATCTTTCAGAACTCCTTATTATAACTTAGCACATTGCCTTACATATAATAGGCACTTAATAATTATCTGATGAATGAACTATATCATCCAAAACTGGAAGATGCACTGGGCATTTGGGTTTAGGGCCTTTCCTGAAATTTACCAAAGAATAGTCCTTCCCTAGTTGGGAAAGATCATGCAACTTAGGAAGAGAGGGAGAAACCAGCTTGCAATGATAAGGGATGGGAAGAACACATTCCTAGCTAGCCACATCAGCAAAAGCATTGCTAACCATCAACAGCAAGGCAGATGTCAAAGTCAGGTTACCTTTACAGTCAACCCTGAAATTCTTATTATAAAGGGGATGCTCATGATGTGAACCAGCATTGGATATTATAGAATATAAGCCAGTGGTAGACTCAGTCTCATGCATGATCACAAACAAGGAGAACACTATGAATAAAAATGACATTGAATGTCGCTATGGAGTACACAGTAGACATCACTATTGCTTAGAACTTGTCTTCAAGGTAGCACCTGGCAAGAAAGAGAAAAGTTACAGTCCCATAAACCTTTGATACAAACCATGCAGGGGGCAGTGCTGTCCACAATTGAGTTTCAGTTCCTGATCCTCTCATTTCTCCACATAATTCTCTGCAGGTGGCATTGGCTGTGTAGGTCAAGACAAGGGCCAGGTTCGAAAATGCCTTGACGTGGTGGAGATCTACAACCCAGATGGGGACTTTTGGCGAGAGGGCCCTCCCATGCCAAGTCCCCTCCTCTCACTCCGCACCAATTCCACCAATGCAGGGGCAGTGGATGGGAAACTCTATGTCTGCGGGGGATTCCATGGAGCAGGTATGGGTCCAGTTTTAAACATTTTGTTACCTCCTTTGGTGTTGATTTGACTTTCTTTAACTGATCCAATCACCACTAATATTCCTGAGAGCAACGTGAGCACTGCAAAAGCATGGCTTTTAGAGTCAGGGACCCTGTGCAAAACCTCTTGGCCTGGGTTTCACATGGACAAAGTGAAGCTGGCACATCCATAGGCTGTCGTAAGAATTAAATGGAATCTAGTTTACGGCCATACCACCCTGAACACACCTGGTCTCACCTGATCTTGGAAACTAAGCAGGGTCGGGCCTGATTAGTACTTGGGTGGGAGAATTAAAAGGGAATCTAGTTTGTACAGCATCTAGCACATAGTAGACACTCACTATATAGTAGTTGAATATGAAGAGAAGAGAAATGGGAGAGGTAGCCTAATGACTATGGTGAGACTAAAGAAGAGATTTTAAAATGGGAAGAGTAGCTGAAAGTGGAGTACTGATCAGAAGTGTTGGGTTTTATCTGATCAAGACTCAGAAAACTCTCTTATTCCTACCCCATGACTACCACTTGAAATAAATGGCTTGAAAGCATTTCTAAAATAATACCTAATGCATGTGTTTATTACTAAACCTTTTTCCATATATCTAATTGTACCATCACTGCATTCTACAGTATGGATTTATAATTTTTTAATGTAACAATGAGATTATAAACTATGCATAAATCTAGTAGGCACATGCCTCCAAAGTTTGATTAGTGGCATAAGTAAATAAGGCAGAATGCAGTTATATTAAAAATGACTAACTTGAATTATATTCTCACTAACAAGCACAAGGCCAGTACATACCCATGAAAACATGTGCCTCAAGAGCACTTAGAATTTTGGAAGAATGCCAGGTTAAAGTAAAGCTGATACTGCAGCAAAGCAGAGCCTTTCGCAAGCCTGCCTTCACTCTTTAAGCACATGATATGTTAAAGAATAAGATGGTGGCTGGGCGCGGTGGCTCACACCTGTAATCCTAGCACTTTGGGAGGCCGAGGCAGGCAGATCACAAGGTCAGGAGTTTGAGACCATCCTGGCCAACATGGTGAAACCCCATCTCTACTTAAAAAAAAAAAAAATACAAAAATTAGCTGGGTGTGGTGGTGCCTGCCTGTAATCCCAGCTACTCGGGAGGCTGAGGCAGGAGAATTGCTTGAACCAGGGAGTTGGAGGTTGCAGTGAGCCAAGATCGTGCCACTACACTCCAGCCTGGCAACAGAGCGAGACTCCATCTCAAAAAAAAAAAAAAAAAAGAAAGAAAAAGAATTTGTGGATGAAAATGATATACTGTCTGAAATTTGTTTTAATCTATTCTAGCAAATATTGTTTTTAATGGCAAGAGGTGGCAAGAATACATTGAAAGTTGCCATAATAAAAACTTTACTTTTTCTTTCTCTATTTGCTCTTCAAAACATTTTTCAAAGAGGTTTTTAAAAAGTTGTTTTAATCTCTTTTACATTAAACATTACATGCCATGCTTGGGTAAAGACTGTAATCTATCATAGTAGTAAGAAACCTGGCCCAACAAGGAATCCTAATAGGGGCCCCTTGCTCAAGCCCTGCGTGTAAGAAGGGAGCTGAGGAGCCAGGAGGGAGAGCCCTGGTGCTGTGCCCACTCATGCGGCAGGGCTGTCCTCCAGCTTGCTTACATGAGCAACTCCCATATTCTGGCCTTTGGCTTTCTCTTGGCCAGAAAAGAAGGACAGAGAATCTGAGGGTTAGCCTCCAGAGGGATAGGTGGTTATTCACGTCTAAGGATCTAGAAGACATTCTGTTTTGTCTTGCTTCTTTATCTTTCTTTATATAATATTGAATTAGAGAATTGATATCCTCCAGTTTTTCAAACATGTCAAATAAACTCATACTATGAGCTAACCTCTCTTCTTGGTACTATTAATATAATGGACTGGTAATGCTTTCAGCCAAAGGGACTTACTATATGAGCTCTCAAAGTCCATTTTAATTATTTGTTTCTAAGATGGTAGATTGTTTGGGATTCGCTGAATGAATTATCACTGGGATTTTATACAAAATAAAACAATTGTATAATAACATACCTATTATGATCTAGAGATCTCATCAGACCTAAAACAGACACTAAATGTTTTCTCCCTGTGTGACACAGACCTACTTGTCTCATTTATTTTTTCAGAAAACCACAGTTGAGAAAGTAATCTCTTTTAATATACTTAATTCAATAAAAATACATTGAAATATATTGTGAACAGGTATTTGGGATACAATCGAGATTTTCAACATTTGGTGGGAAAGACAGATGGATAAACATGTAATAAACATAGTAATTTGTTTTTGGTTAAAATAGTAGGTTGAACACCTCTATTTTATCTTCAAGCCCCACTAAAATGACAGTAAGTCGAATAAACACAGACAAAGAGAAGAGACAGGAAAATAGCAACAACAATTTGGAAGCTAAAAAGCAGATGTATGAGAAAGTGTAATCCTAACTGGCAACAGAAAAAACAAAAAACAAACAAAAACCCTGATTTGTAACCTGGAACCCCAGATAATCTCAGGAGTTGGCAACAAAAGGTAACTGTGGACATTGAAATGAAAATGATACTGAAAACATGAAGATTAGCTGAAAGACAGGAAGACCCCTAATTTCCTGCCCTACTCTTGATAGTGAGACAAAGACCTTTCACCCTGACAAAGGCTGAGGTTGAGGACAGGAGTTAAGGTCAGGCATCCAGTAATTTAAAAAGAGATTGAGTGGAAGGTTGCATATTGAATATTGAGGTCCTCAGCCTCCTTCCCTCCCTGACTCTCAGAATATGCACAGCCATACCCTCTCGGCAAGAGATTGGGAGGTTCTTCTCTGGGGGTCTGACCAGCCCCCAACTAAGGCAAAGCCAGATTACCCTGCAGAGAATCTCACAGAAAAAGTCTTTTATGGCATCCCACTCTTAAAGATGAACAAGCAACTAAGGATCACCGAACATCTGAGGAAGTGCATAGATGAAAGATAGAAAGCAAACTGGAGGAAACAGAGGCTATGCCAGGAGAGGTGTCCTCAGAGAGATGAGAGAAAATATTGCATCAATAGAACAGGAAAAGGATATTTAAAACATTTCTTGGAAATTAAAAAATATAGCAGAAATTAAATCTACAATGGAAAATTTGGAAAGTGTAGTAGAGGAAACTTCTCACAAAGCAGAACAAAAAGCAATTATATGGAAAATTAGAGAAAGAGAAGTTGAGGCCAGGAGGTCCAACATTTGAATAATAGGAGTTGGTCAATGGCTAAACAGAGAAAACAGAGGGAAATAAATTATCCATGAAGTAAATTAAAAATTTTCCCCCAAACTGAAGTCATCAGATTGAAAGGATATACAAATGCCAAGGACAAAGGATGAAAAGGGACCCAAACTAGGGCACATCACTGTGACATTACAGAACACTGGGGAAAAAAATAAAAGGTTGTAAAAGTTCCTAAAGAGAAAAAACAATAGTTTTACACAAAGTGCCAAGAATCAGACTTCTGAATGATGACATTGGGAGCTAGAAGAAAACGAAGCAAATGCTATCTAAATTTCTATGGGAAAATTACTTTCCACCTACGATTCTATGCCTGCTGAACTATTAAATTTGAGGGCACATTTTCAGACATACAGTGCCTCCAAAATTTTTTCTCCTGTGTGCCCTTTTATCAGGACATGCTTCACCAAAAATGAACATATAAACCAAAAAAGATAGATGTGGGACCCAAGAACAGAATTAAACATAATAGAGAGAAAAGGAAATCAGTGGAGGATATTGAGGGGAGATTCAAGAAGCTGCAAAGCAGGCCGAAAGAGTGGCCAGAATAGAATGGAGCCGGTCAAAGGGCTCTGTGAGAGATGCCTTCAAGATTCCAACATTTGGAGAAGAACAATGAAAACTAGCAAAAATAAAATGAGAGAAAACAGTAAGTCATGCAGAAAAGGAAAAGTATGCCACACAGTCCATCTGTGAATAGCATTTATAACAATATCATAATAAACATACTCAATACTGAACTGACCAAAACTATGCCTTAACTGTACTGGAAAATGTGGAAACAGACCATAGGTAGATAGGGTAGGAATGTGAGAGAAAGCCAAGTCCGCATTCTTCACAGTGGAAGTCAAGAGTTAATGCCTTCATCTGACAAAGCAAGAGGCAGAAGTAATATAAAAAGTGTTGTTTATAGAGACCATGGTCAGTGCCAGCAGAATCAGCCAGAGTGGAGAGAGAAGCAGTGAATGGGGAGCAGGTCAGGGAACAACTGTTTTTAAGGAATAAGACTTGTAAAGCAGCTATTTAAATCAAGCAAATGTGTAACTAATAAAACCTAAATTTAAAATATGTAAATATAGTGCATATAGTAGAAGAATAACAAGAGAGTATTAAGAAAAATATGAACAAGTGAGTCTTTTGGGAGATAATTTTCCATGGGTCTTAAGTGTTTCTGCATGTCTTATGAGCAGAGGTACTGACTGCTTTTGTTCTGGACTATTTCTTCAAGCATCTTTGATAGCATACAGCCTTAGAAGATATAGTCAGTATCTCCACAGCAAAGAGCAGGCATGCTCACTGGTCATTATGAAAAATTCCGGTTCCCTAAGCTCAGCATTTCTCTGCAGTAATGCAACCCATTGATTGTACAGGTCTCAGCTGGCACTCTTCACATTGCCCCGTGAGAATAAGTCAAAAAACTGGCATAATAACTGGCATAAAAATGCTGATATACTAGTTGCTACTATTGCTATAACACTGTCTTTCATCTCTGACCCAGAAGTCTTACGTCTTCTATTAGCATCCATGAAACTGCAGCAAGCTTACTTATAAAATCCCAGACTCTTTGCAGTTCTTGACAGAGTCCTGGGACTCACCAGGAGGCTTTGTTCTCCACCTCCAATACAGAATGAGGGAGCCAGTATTGTGTTTCAAAAAGGTCAGAGCTCATAACACCAATCCTTCACAAACTCTTACAAAATATACAAGAGGGAACAATTCCAAACTTACTATTTGAGGCCAGTGTTATTCTGATACCAAAACTAGGCAAAGACATTGCAAGAAAACTATAGGTTAGTAGCCTTTATGAATATAGATGCAAAAATCTAAACAGAATACTAGCAAACTGAATCCAGCAACATGCAAAAAGAATTATACACCGTGTTCGAGAAGGATTTATCCCAGAAATGAAAAGTTGGCTTACCATTTGAAAATGAATCAATGTGTGGGAGGAGGGAGAGCATCAGGAAGAACAGCTAATGGATGCTGTGCTTAATACCTAGGTGATGGGTTGATCCGTGCAGCACACCACCATGGCACACATTTACCTATGTAACAAACTTGCATATCCTGCATATATACCTCGGAACTTAAAATAAAAGTTGAAGGAAAAAAAAAAGAAAACGAATCAATGTAATATGCCGTATTAGTAGAATAAAGGGAAAAAAACAGATTATCTCAATAGATGCAAAGAAAAAAAATAGATGCACCCTTTCGTGCTATAGATACTTAACAAACTGGAAATAGAAAGTAACTTCCTCAGCCCGATAAAGGGTATTTATGAAAAATCTACAGCTAACATCATGCTTAATGGTAAAAGACTGAAAGGTTTCCCCCTAAAATCAGGAACAAGGCATGAATGCCTACTCTTGCCACTTCTATTCAGCATTATACTGGAGGTTCTAATCAGTAAAATTATGAAAGAAAAAGAAATATAAAGCATCCATATTGGAAAGTAATAACTAATTGCATATGACATAATCATTTTTTTCGAAAATCTTAAGGAATTATTTTAAAAAGCTACTAGAGCTAATAGACAGGTTCAACAAGGGTGCAGGACATAAGACCATACGCCAAAAAATTGTATTTCTATACACTTACAATGAACAATTAAAAAATGAAATTAAGAAAACAATTCTATTTACAATATCATCAAAAAGAATAAAATAGGAGTAAATTTAACAAAAAAAGTACAGGATTTGTACACTGAAAACTGCAAGACATCATTAAAAGGAATTAAAATTCTATATAAATGGTAAGATATTACATACAAAAATTGATAGGATGATCCTAAAATCTATATGGAAATGTAAGAGACCCAGAAAAGCCAAAATGATCTTGTAAAAGAACAAAGATGAAAGACCCACACTTCCTAATTCTGAAGCTTTACTTCAAAGCTATAGTAGTCAAGACCATGTGGTACCAGCATAATGATAGACAAAACATATCGATCAGTAGAATAGACTTGAGAGTTCAGAAATAATCCCTCCATTTCAGTCAACTGATTTTCAACAAGGCTGCCAAGACAAGTCAGTGAGGAAAGGATCCTTTTTTCAACAAATGGTGCAGGAATAATTGGATATCCACATGCAAAATAATGAAGTTGGAATCCTGCCTCTTACCATGTACAAAAAGGAACCCAAAGTAGATTAAAAATCTAAACATACAACCTAAAACTGTAAAATTCTTAGAAGAAAATGTAGGCATAAATCTTGAATTAGGTGATGGTTTCTTAGAAATGCCAAAGCACACATACCAAAAAAAAAAGATAAATTGTACATCAAAAATCAAAACGTTTGTGCTTCAAAGAGCAACAACAAGAACATGAAAAGACAACCCACAGGATGAGAGACAATAATTGCAAATCATGTCTGGTAAGAGACTTGTATCTAAAATACATTAAGAAATCTTATAACTCAATAATAAAAAGATAACATATTTTTAATGGACAAAGGAACAGAATAGACACTTGTCCAGTGAATATAAACAGATGATCTAGTGCTCAACATCATTAGCCATTAAGAAAA
The DNA here is from genome assembly GCF_000001405.40 of Homo sapiens. NCBI lineage: Eukaryota > Metazoa > Chordata > Mammalia > Primates > Hominidae > Homo > Homo sapiens. The sequence goes on from NC_000003.12 coordinate 127,970,206, forward strand.
TGCAAATCTAAACCATGATGAGATACACTTCATACCCACAAGGATGACTACAATGAAAAAAAGATAGATAATAACAAGTATTGTCGAGGTTTGGAGAAATCAAAACCACCATACGTTGCTGGTGATATAAAATAATGCAGCTGCTCTGGAAAAGTCTGGCAGTTCCTCAAGAGGTTGACACAGAGTTGCCATACGATGCAGCAATCCCACTCCTAGGTATATATCCAAGAGAATTGAAAATATATGCCCACCCTTGTACCTGAATGTTCACAGCAGCAGCATTCGTCTCAGCCAAAAAGTGGAAACAACCCAAGTGTCCATCCACAGATGGACAGATAAGTAAAATACACAAATAAGTAAAATACTGTCTATTTAAGCAGTGGAATATCATTTGGCAATAAAAAGGAATGAAATACTAACAGTTGCTACAACATAGATGAACCTTGAAAGCATTATGCTAAGTGAAAGAAGGCAATCACAAAAGACCACATATCACATGATTCCATTTATATGAAATGTCCAGAAAAGGCAGATGGATAGAGGCAGAAAGTAGATTTGTGATTGCCAGAAAATGGAGAAAGGGTGAATGGGTAGTGACTGCTAATGGGCAGAGGATTTATTTTGGGAGTGATGAAAATGTTCTGAAATTAGACAGTGGTGATGGCTGCACAACTCTGTGAATATACTAAAAAACCATTTTTTTATACATTTTCAAGGGGTGAATTTTATGATATATGAACTATACCTCAATAAAGCTGTTGTTAAAGTGAAAAAGTCAGAACTCCTTCTCTTATATCCTCACAGTAATCAGCTTGGTGTTTGACACTAATGAGGAGAATTAAGCTGAACTGCCCATGGTGAGGGTGCTTAGAGGCAGGTTCCTTGAGTGAAAGAGGCAGAAATGGCCCATTCCAGAGACAGAATTAGGCTTCCTGAGACAGAGAAGACAGTGGTGGCAGATGACACCTAGTGGCAGGAAACTATTCCCTGCTATAAGAACATCCAAGGGATGACAACACTGTGGCCTTAGGTACCTGCAAAAGATTCCTGTGGTTGGCACGCAGAAATCCTGCCTTTTAAGGGACCCTGTGGGCTTGGACAGAGGGCATCTTGGTGATAATCATAATGAACTGAATACCGAAGAGCCACTCTCATGTTTTCTAGCTCAAGTGTGCCCTCAGGATTCTTGTATATCTCACAAAGAGGAGTTGCTCCCAGAGGGCTCAGCCTTCTCCCTGCTGACAAAGCCCCCACTTTGGCTCTTGTTCCAGCTGTTGGCCCTTTGAGACTCAACTGCATATTCTTGCCAGGCTCTGGTTTCTGTCTGTTTCCCCGAACTCTGGTGCAGGGTCCCCCCATTCCCTACTATGGCAGCCCATCGGTACACACTTGTTTGCCACTTGTGGCTGTCTTCCCTTCCTCCAGGATGGCAGGGGAGCTCAGGGAGCAGGCTGAGGGAGCAGGGAGGCCTCCTGTTTCTCCACTTCAACTCTATACTGGCTGCCAGTGGGACCCGCTGTGGGCAGGGGGATTTCTTCCCAGAGTCCAGGCTAAGTCCCTTCTGCCTTCAGCCCATCTGAGCCATTTTCATCATCTTCTTTGGCTAACTTCTAGGGGACCCAAACAACATTTTCACCTTAGTATCAGCCCCTCCAAATCTTCCTTCCTTCACCCAGGACTGGAAATGCTCTCTACCTCCTCCATCTGTCCAGCAAGAACTTCCCTCAAATCACCCCTCTGCCTCCTCTAGTTTAGTCTTGTGGCACAGTCTTAATGGTGAAAAGCCTGTCGAGGACAAATCTGAATTATCAGAAAGAGAAAATGCACTGGGAAGTACTTCAAAAATGAATTCTTTTACTAACCAATGCAGATTAAAATTGACAGCTGACAGTTACCTGGTTACCCTGTGCTAGGGAAAATTCTAAGCACTTTGCATGTGTTAATTTATTTGATTCTCTCAACAGCCTGCAACTATTATTTCCCTTATTTTAAAGGTGCAGAAACTGAAGCCATCTAAAGAAGTCAAACAGAGGGTAAATGTTGAATTTGGGATTCAAAGTTAGATAGTCTGGCCCCAAAGTCTATATTTTTAGCAGTAGGCTAAACTGTCTCTCCATACCAGACAAATCAAATCAGAATATTTGGTTATGGGGCCTGGGCATCAATATTTTTTAAAAATCTTCAGATTTTTCTAACATGCAGTCAGGGTTAAGAGCCTGGCTGATGTCTGTTGGGTTTTCATTCAACAAACCTTTATTGAATGCCTTTCTAGGTAGTAAGCCCATGTTAAACCCCAAAGATACACATACAAACATGTTTGGTTCCAGCCCTAACAGAGCTCATTGAGGGCAAAATAAGGAAGTTGCTGTATTGTTGGATGATGGACTCAGCTAGCTGCTTAGAATGTAGTTGTGCTTCTTCACAAAATAGCTGATTCTAGGTTTGGAGCACAGAAATTGCAAGGTAAGGTTCAGATATCCTGTTACACCAGAAAGCAGGTACATTGTCAAAGACTTAAGGGAGTCATGAAAAGACAGAGAAACCAGCCTGAAAGGGCAGTCACTGGCCAGATTCAAAATAATTCAAACATCAAAAATCGTAATTGACTATAATTGACTGAAACACATTGAATCAAAAGCCAGGTAATAAATGTAGAAGTCATGATAGAAGGATAGCCAAGATCCTAATTTGTATAATAGTTGGTTCAGTCAGAAATCATCAATGGATGCTAAAAGCATCGGTTGAAAGGTTATAAAGAACAGGATAGTCACATGGCACTGAAGACATATTACCTGATAAATCACAGACTAATTACAACATGAAAAAATATGTACTTTTACAATGGAGAAATTGGATAGCCACCGCTGTAATCAAATAATCATCATTAATAATGATATAATTTTATAGTATTTGCTTCCTATATCATTCAGTATAGAGTCTTCTCATGTCCCCACCACCACCAAAATACTTAACTTGTGTCCAGTCAAACCTCTACATTTTACCTCCAGTTTATAGGAAATAGAGGAAGAACAAAGTAAACAACCCTATGAGGAGATAGGTGAATTCAGCTTGTGGGACATTCTACAAGAAAACTGACCCTGACTCAAAAAAATTAATGTCACAGGGAAAAAAACCCAAGATGGGGGCCTTCCTAAATGAAAGGAGACCAGAGAGACATAATAACAAAGTATAATGTGTGAAGGTTGGTTGGATGATGGTTTGAAAATAACAGCTATTGAGTTATTCTGGGGACAACTGGGGAAATTAGAATATGAACAGGATTTTATTCAATTTTATAGAATTAATGTTATTTTTTCATAGGTATGATAATGGTTTGTGATTATGTAAAGGAATTTCCTCATCCTTAGAAGAAGTATGCTGAGTATTTAGGAGTGAAGTATTATGCCTGTAATTGATTTTTCAAGGTTTCAGGAAAAAAAAAGTGTGTGTGTGTATGGGGTGGGGACATAAAGATAATAAGGCAAAATGCTAACTATTATTGACTCTAGATGCAGAATACACCGGTATTCAGTGTACTATTCTTTCACCTTTTCTGTATGTTTGAAATTTCTCAAAATAAAAAACTGATAAAAGAACAAAGCTTTGATAGACACCAGCTATGGTGGCCACTATGCTACAAGTCTGTTTTATCCTAGTACTAATGACTACAGAGAAAAAGATGGAATGATGGAAGTGGTTTGTTTTACCTTTGGCATCCCCGTGCCCCCCAGCCACACCCTGGAGAAATTGTACTAAACTTATGATATCCTGGAGGAGAGTTACTATTTTCATTTTCAACTTCCTATCTGTCCTACAGTATATACCATATACCCATACATACATACACTGTCTATATCATATATATAAAAAACATTTCTATTTCCACAAGGAATGGAGACATTTTACAGAACTGGCATAGACAAAATAAAACTAAAAACATGCTTAGCAGTAAGTGCAGAGAGCAATTATATCAGCAAACCTAAGCTAAGAAACATTTCCAGAATTTGGCCCAGCTTCGTAGCCACCAAAGCAAAGAAAGAAAACTGATGGATTTTGAATCCCTTGCAGGAGGCATCTGAATCTTTGCTTCTGCTGCTTTCTCCTCCTAAGTCTGTCTCATGCTTTCCTTTCTCTTCTGACTGTGTTCTTCCCAGGGGCCTCCATGATACGGAAAGAGGGCTCCACAGCCATCAGTTTCATCCTGTACCGTCACTCCAGCCTGAGGGCATTGCTCTCCCTAGATGCCAGAGCAGCAGATTGTGAACAGGTTTCTGTATGGGCCATCATGAAGGGAATGTCCTTCAACTGACAGGAACCTCCTGTCCCTTAAGAGTGAGAAGCTAAGATCCCATCCCCAAATCCTGGAGACTCACCACATTCATTCACAACCTGATTGCTCAGGGACAAGTTCCCTGTTCCATACATCTGACCTGTTCTTTCCCCTCCGGACCACTTGGCTTTATTTTCCAATTAAGTTTCCAAGTATAAAAATAATCATCTGGCCAGGCACGGTGGCTCACGCCTGTAATCCCAGAACTTTGGGAGGCCGAGGCTGGGGGAACACGAGGTGAGACCATCCTGGCTAACATGGTGAAACCCCATCTCTACTAAAAATACAAAAAAATTAGCCGGGCATGGTGGCGGGTGCCTGTAGTCTCAGCTACTCGGGAGGCAGGAGAATGGCATGAACCTGGGAGGTGGAGCTTGCAGTAATCCAAGATCGCACCACTGCACTCCAGCCTGGGTGACAGAGCGAGACTCCGTCTCAAAATAAATAAATAAATAAATCATCTCTGTTAGTTTGAGTTCCCCCAAAGCATACCTTGAAACAAGGCTTTGAGTGCAAATAGTTTTTTGATGGGAAAGTGCTTCCAGGAGGCTACTAAGAGGGGAGAAGAGAGTAAGATGGGAAAGGAGGGGCGCCAGGAGAGCAGTGTGACCTGACAGGTAACCACTGTGGGCCACTGAGGGTCAGTCCCACTGAGAAATTCTGGGAGGCAGTGTAGAACACACCTCGCAGTTGTCTCACCCAAAGGGTGAAGGATCTGGAGGTGTTCATCCTCAGACTAACTTCCTATCTGACCCCCTGGAGCTAAGAGAAAATCCTCAGGCAAAGAGTAGCAGACGGATGTAGTCAGCCTGTTCTGGAACAGGGATCACAGAGGAGATATGGCTGACATCTGGTATGTCAGCTGATACTTCTGACAGTCTCTTCTATGGCACCCTAACCACCCACCTTCAAATAAAGAAGGCTTATTACTGTTAACCAAGAAGATACACATGACATCAGGAGCACCGCGTGGGTCAGAAAAGACAGATTCAGCTTGCAGTGATAGCAGACTGTCATTGTCCCACCTTGCACCAGCTTCTTCTTACCATGTAGTCATTGGTTCTCCTTTTCCTAGAATGCATCCAAGAACAGGAACTCAGTCTCCATGCTCTGTGCTAAGCTGACATGCAGATCTGTAGATCCCTAAAGTTTTATATGTTTTATAAGTTTTTGCAAATTTGAAAAATTGACACTGATTTGTTAGCATGAGATAGAATTTTCTCTCCGAACTCTATCAAGCTAGGAAAGGCTAAAGAGGTCTGCTGTTGGCTTTGGACTTTAGGCAGCATTGGACTTTAAGCCTGACATTGGTTACTGCTGTTTGCAACATTGACATTACAGCGACCATGAGGGAATAGAATCTTGGTGAACTCTTTTCTTGTTTAAACTTTTTATTTGAAATAATTTTAAACTTACAGAAAAGTTACAAAAAAGAAAATGGTATAATGAATACCCAGATTCACCTATTGCTAATATTTTTCCTAATTTGCATTATTTAACATTTGCTCAATCATGCAATACCCATACATATAGACAGGTACATAATTTTGTTCTGACCATATGCAAGTAAGCTGCATACATCACACAATTTACACCTAAATACCCAGTGTGTAGAATCTGAATATTTTCTTACATAAACACGGATAGCTAACAATTTTAGGAATTTTAACATTGATTCCATATTTTTATTTATTCTACTCTTAGTCTTCTAATTTTTTCAGTTGACCTGGTAATGTTCTTTTTGTAGCACCTTTTCTCTCCATGCCAGTCTAAGATCAAGTATTGTGCTTGTTGACATGTCTTCTCAGTTTTCTTAAATCTGGAACATGTCGACACGCCCTTTTTCCCCCCTTTTTACAACATTAACTTGTTTAATTAGCACAATTTCCCCGTTTTAGAATAAAATCTTCCTCTCTTGATGTCTATCCGATATTCCTGGTGATTAAATTCAGGTTATACATTCCCGGCTGGAATATTACATAACTGATATATGTCCATCTCAGGACATCACATCTGGAGGCAAACTGTGTCTCTCTGCCCCTTGCTGGCAAAGTTCACTTTAATTACCTAGTCAAGATATGGTCTAATTTCATCACTGTGTAGTTATTATTTTTCCTTTGCAAATGGTAGAAAATGTGGAAGAGATCCTGTAAAACCATGCAGTTCACTTTTTGCACTTAAGTTGTCTCCCAGAAATCTTTTCCATGTTAGGTAGTAGAGGCTGTCCTTATTCATTTTTATGTGTGTATGCTGTTTCATTGTGTGTATGTACCACAGGACCTCTGTTCTTTTTGTGTGTGTTAGTTTGTTACACTTTTAATTAATTTATTTTTAACTTTTAGGTTCAGGGGTACATGTGCAGGTTTGTTATATAGGTAAATTGTGTGTCACAGGAGTTTGGTGTACAGATTATTTCATCATCCAGTTTCTTGATCCTCATCCTCCTCACCCTTCTCCCACCCTCCACCCTTAAGTAGGCCCCAGTATCTGTTGTTCCCTTCTTTGTGTACATGTGTACTCAATGTTTAGCTCCCACTTATAAGTGAGAATATGCAGTATTTGGTTTTCTGTTCCTGTATTAGTTCACTTAGGATAATAACCTCCAGCTCCAACCATGTTGCTGCAAATGACATGATATTCCTTTTTATGGCAGCATAGTATTCCATGGTGTCTACCACAGTTTCTTTATCTGGTCTACCACTGATGGCATTTAGGTTGATTCCAGGTCTTTGCTATTGTGAATAGTTCTGCAGTGATAATACACATGCATGTGTCTTTATGGTAGAACAATTTATGTTCCTTTGGGTGTATCCCCAATAATGGAATTGCTGGGTCGAATGATAGTTCTGTTTTAAGTTCTTTGAGAAAGTGCCAAACTGCTTTCCACAATGGCTGAACTAGTTTATATTCCCACCAGCAGCGTATAAGCATTCCTTTTTCTCTGCAACCTTGCCAGCATCTTTTTTCACTTTTTAATAATAGCCATTATGACTGGTGTGAGATAGTATCTCATTGTGGTTTTAATTTGTCTTTCTCTAATGATTAGTGATATTAAGCATTTTTAATATGCTTGTTGGCCGTGTGTATGTCTTCTTTTGAAAAGTGTCTGTTCGTGTCCTTTGCCCACTTTTTAATGGGGTTGTTTGTTTTTTGTTTAATTTATTTAAGTTCCTTATAGATTCTGGATACTAGACCTTTGTCGATGCATATTTTGCAAATACTTTCTCCCATTCTATAGGTTGTTTGTTTACTCTGTCGATAGTTTCTTTTGCTGTGCAGAAGCTCTTTAGTTTAATTAGATCCCATTTGTCAATTTTTATTTCAGTTGCAATTGCTTTTGGTGTCTTTGTCATGAAATTTTTGCTGGAGTGTATGTCCAGAATGGTATTTCCTAGGTTATCATCCAGAGTTTTTATAGTTTTAGGCTATACATTTAAATCTTTAATCCATCTTGAGTTGATTTTTGTATATGGCGTAAGGAAGGGGTCCAGTTTCAATATTCTGCATATGGCTAGCCAGCCATCCCAGCACCATTTATTGAATAGAGAGTCCTTTCCCCATTGCTTCTTTTTGTCAACCTTGTTGAAAATCAGATGGTTGTAGGTGTGCAGCATTATTTCTGAGCTCTCTATTCTGTTCCATTACGACCTCTGTTCTTTACCTTTTGCTGAGACAGCTTCCCAACATCTCTTTGGGCCAAAAACTAGGGCCATTCCCTGATTTCAACAACAGACTGGAATACTGGGTTCTAGTCAGGATAGTCAACACACTCCACCCTGTCTGTCCCACTAAAGGCAATTAAATCCCCTGGCCAGATGCATGGAGCAGCAATCTGAGAACTCTGAAAAGTAAATGGTAGTGGGCAGACTGGGGAAAGAAGTCAGAACTTGAAATACCACCAAATCAATAATAATTGTCTCATTTTTTTCCCTTGATATTTCCTGGCCTGGACTCAAAGATAGCCTGAAGCCTGGAACTTCAGACCAAGTATGGACAGAAACTCTAAGAAAATCCTCTTTTTCTGTTCCAAGGAGGAAGGAAGAGGGCTCCTATGGGTCAGACAGGGGGAATTTTTTCTTTCTTCTTTTTTTCGTTCTTTACCCCACCCCCTTCCCAAGCTCCCAGGCATTCCCAGGTGGTAGCAATAGCAGGGGCTGGGCTGGCCCCCTTTTCTCTGACCAGGGAAACTTTGGTCCCAAGAGTCTGAGTAAAGTCCCCATTGCCTTTCCATCTTGGTCTACTGGCCACGTCACCTTGGAGGCATGCATGTTCATGGAAAGTGTGCATCAGAGCAAAGAATCCAAAGCTCCAGCTCTTTAGCCAGAAGGCCAGGAAGGGGCATAAGGATGTTGCTGGAATCAGGAAAATGTAAGGAAGATTGCAGACAGGAGGGAGCTCAAGAAAGTGATCTCATAAAGTTGGACGTGAGCTCCTGGGCCACACACACATGATTTAGCCCTAAACTGTCTACCAAAGCCTTTGAAAACTGAGCTGACATTGGAAACACAGCCCACAGAAGGTAGCCAGGAACTTGCGGCCTACCTAACTGGGTCAGTTTTTGATTTTCTGCTAATACAAATAAACAAAAAAATCAACATTTTCCACAGGATTTAAACAAGACCTAGAATAATATGGCATAATATTCAAAATGCCTAGCATATAATCCAAAATTACTTGACTTACCAGGAACCAAGAAAATATCAGATCATACAAGAGAGAAGACAATCAACAGATACTAACCCCAAGATGGCACAGATTTTGAAATAACTAGGCAGAGACTTTAAAGCAGTCTCTAAGACTTAGTGCTCCAGGAAGTAAGAGTGAACACTTATATATAAAGCAGAAGCTATTGGAAATAGTAACATAAATGGATAAATCCGCAAAATTTGCATGGACTTTTTCAGAAATCCATGGATCAAATTGATTTTTTAAAACTAAAGCAAAAAGAGATCCAGAACTGAGCTGCCCAACACAACACAATGGTCAGCAGCCACTTACATCTATCTGAATTTCAACTTAAGCTAATTAAAATTAAATAAAATTTAAAAATCAGTTCCTCAGTCTCACTAGCCACATTTCAAATTACTCCACACCACATATGGGCAGTGGTTACTCTATTGGACAGCACAGATTACAGAACATTTCCCTCATCACAGTGAGTTCTCTTGGACAGCACTGGTATCAAGGATTTAAATAGCATAATTAGCAACTTAAATGTCATAGATATATAGAATCCTCTGCCAAGCAAACAAAATGTAACTTCCTTTTAAACACTTACAGAACACATACATTGACTAACCATAAATTAGGGCAAAGGAAAATCTCAATATATTCCCCAAAATACAAATTATAGAAGTAATATGTGCTGTCTATGATGCAAATAAATTAGAAGCATTCAGTGAAAGGGTAGTCAAGTGCACATGCATGTACTAACACATACACTCAGCTGGAGATGTTAAAACATTTTCCTAAATAAGTCTTGGGTTAAAGCAGAAATTAGGCCTGAGATTGCAAACTATGGAGAAATTTGAACTGCACCAGAAATCTTCTAAAAAGAGGTACTCAGAAGAAATGTAAGCCTTAAGTGCACATATTAGTAGACATTGAAACATGAAAAAAAGGAACTAAGCATCCATTTCAAGAAGATAGAACAAGAGAAGATAAAACAAGGTTGGTTCAAATTAATCTGTCTCTAGCACATTTCAAAGTTTTTGGTTTGAGGTAAGAGGTCTAACAGAATTCCCAAATTTTGGCACTGATAGTGTAATCATTGGGTTATTTTATTTATTTATTTTTTATTTTTTATTTTTTTGAGATGGAGTCTCGCTCTGTCGCGCAGGCTGGAATGCAGTGGTGCAATCTCAGCTCATTGCAACCTCTACCTCCTGGGTTCAAGTGATTCTCCTGCCTCAGCCTCCCAAGTAGCTGGGACTACAGGTGGGCGCTACCACGCCCAGCTAATTTTTGTATTTTCAGTAGAGACGGGATTTCACCATGTTGGCCAGGCTGGTCTCAAACTCCTGACCTCAAGTGATCTGCCCACCTTGGCCTCCCAAAGTGCTGGGATTAGAGGTGTGAGCTGCTGTGCCTGGCCGAGTGTAGTTGTCTTTGACCGGATTATAATTCCATCCATAAACCATCCTTCTGTGGCCAGGAGGAATGCAGTACTCTGAGTCAGCCATTGGGTTATTTTAAATAAATTACATTGAAAGACATAAAACATTTCTCCCACTCCAAAAATTGAGAGATATATCATGCTGCATGATTAGAAAACTGTTAAGATGTTACCTTTCCCAATCTGATTTATAAATTTAATAAAAATCCAATCAAAATCATACAAATTCTATTTTAGATTTTTTGTTGGTTTTCATTTTTAGAAATTTCACATTAGATACCAAATTAGAAACAATAATACAATTAAGCCAATCTGACCACACCAGCTTCAACAATTTTGCTGTTCTTATTTCCAAACATACTTTTTTTCTTCTTTTTACTTTTCTTTACTGGAGTACTTTAAAGCAAATCTAATAATCAGGCCATTTTATCCAAAAATACATTAATATCCATCTCTAACTGGATGGATATTTTAATATACCTACTGTGCCAAATTCACACCTAAAAAATGCACATAATCCCTTACTATTGTCTGATACACATCCCAGATTCTAGACTGTCTAAGATAGCTTGTTCCATGTGCTTCTTCAGAGCCTGGTTCTGCCATGTATCAGCTGTCAATCCTGAGGCAAGTTAATTAGCTTTTCTGGACCTGTTACCTTTTCTACAAAATGGAGAAAATAATAAATCCTTCTCAGATGATAGTTCAAAAGACTAAATGAGATCATACATTTAAATCACCTAATGCTATCCAATAAATAGTCATTATTATTAACATAACAGATTCTGACATAAATAGAATTACTTCTAGAAACAGTTTATCCCACTTTTGATGTTGCTGAGATTGGTTAGTGGGTGCAAGTATATCTGGGGATTGGGGATTTATTTCATTAGGTTTTGGAGGAAAGAAATTCTGTAATCCAGTGTCCTGCCAGTTTTCCTCAAAAGTTCCCACTTTTTCTCCAGTGTGTTTGTGATACATACCCAGGTTTAAGAAAGATTGTCTTTTTGGCCAGCCACGGTGGCTCACACTTGTAATCCCAGCAGTTTGGGAGGCTGAGGAGGGCAGATCACAAGGTCAGGAAATTGAGACCATCCTGGCCAACATGGTGAAACCCCGTCTCTAATAAAAATACAAAAATTAGCTGGGAGTGGTGGCGGGTGCCTGTAAATATGTATAAGAGCTAAATAACAAGGCCTAATGAACATGTGGAACACCACAGCCAACAGCTACAGGATATACATCCTTTATGAGCACACGTGGATCATTTTCAAAAATTGACTTCCACATGCTGAAACGAGGCTGGGCACTTTACACACATTATCTTCTTTAATTACCATAAAATTGTTAAATAGGCGTCCAAGCTGGAAATCTTCCATTTGTCCCTCCACACTCACCCCTACCCTTCCCCACCTCTCTCTGTGTCCTTCCAGGCTGGCCTCTATAGACAGCATTAAAGGTTCCTTTCCTCTCTGGCTTCTGGATGGTTCAGTTAGCAGGAGGAAAGAGCAGGAAATTATCAGGTGAAAAGAAAGGAGAGTCAGGGTATATTGTAAAGATTTTAAATTTTCTGTATATTGTGATGTTTTGACAACTTAAGAGACCTTTCTGGTTGGGGAATGATTGCCCTCCCCAGGCTGGCCAGTCCTTAAGGACAAGAAAGGGCTCTGCCTGGAGCACATCTTTGCTGTGCACACGAGCCAGCCCAGAGCCACACCTCCTCTGTCTGGCCCCCACACCCCGGGAGACAGTGTGCCTCTGCCTCAGTCATCCCAGGGCCAGGCACCAGGCAACTAGAGACCACTCCTGTCCCCACACCCACTGAAATTATTCAAACCAGCCAGTCCTAAGGTGTCCACTCTCCCCTGCCTGGATTCTCCCGTGGCCTACACCTTCCCCTCACTCCTGTCTTCTGCCTCGTGCCTCTGGGATCTGTGAGGATAAGAAAACTTGTTTTCCTGAGCCTCTCCCTTGCCTGCACCTGACTTTCACATAAAAAGATAGAAAATGCAGGGTATTTGCCCTCCCTGCTGCCTCCCTGCTAAGGATGGCTGTGTCCATCTTTCTCTGCTCAAGACCGGTGCTGCTCCCCAGACAGCTCCCCTGTCCCAGCTCCAGTGCTCTCTCCCTCCCTCGCCTTCCAGGTCTAGGGACAGTGACAGCCCCTTGCTGTGATTAGTGCTGGGTACTGTGCCATCCCCCATGGGCCTTCCTAAGCCCCGCTCACAGCGTTCTAAAGGTCCCTTGACTGAACTCTTCATGTTGCCCAGGTGGAGTATGCTGTGTTTCCACAGGACCCCACCTGAATGTGAGCATCCCTATCCCAAACACAAGCTCAGAGGGCAGCGCTAGCCCAGGGCCACATGACTCCAGCCGTGCCTCCTCTATGGGGGTGGAAATAGGGCAGTTTCAACCCTTGTTCACATCATTGCTAAATCATTCATATGGCATTGGAACACTTTTTCAACTGGAGACAACGGCATGCCCTGTCAGAACTTCTTGAATAATTTTTGACTGAATTGTGAACGTGGCCTTTCTTCGTTTCTTAGAAATCAGGAACACTGCCTTCCATTTAAAGTATCTTTATTCAGTTGTTAATTAATTTTTGGTGCTTAAGTCCTGCTGTGGTTTGAGTTTGTTCTCTCTGAAACTCATGTTGAAATTTGGTCCCCAGTGTAGCGGTGCTGGAGGTGGGGCCTAGTGGGAGGTGTCTTGCCATGGATCCCTCATGAATAGATTAACACCCTCCCTTGGGGGTGAACTTGGGCTCTCATAAGAATGGATTAGTTCCTGGGAAAGGGGGCTGTTAAAAATAGTCTGGCAACCGGGCGTGGTGGCTCACGCCTGTAATCCCAGCACTTTGGGAGGCTGAGGCAGGCAGATCATGAGGTCAGGAGTTCGAGACCAGCCTGACTAACATGATGAAACCCCGTCTCTACTAAAAATACAAAAATTAGCCAGGCATGGTGGCATGTGCCTGTAATCCCAGCTACTCAGGAGGGTGAGGCGGGAGAATTGCTTGAACCCGGGAGGCGGAGGTTGCAGTGAGCGAGATTGCACCAGTGCACTCCAGCCTGGGTGACAGAGCAAGACTCCGTCTCAAAAAAAAAACAGTCTGGCTTTCTTGATTTCTCTCTTTTACTCCTTCCCTGTCCCAGTGACCTCTTTGCAAATGCCCACTCCCCTTCCATTTTCTGCCATGAGTTGAAACAGCCAAGGCTCCCACCAGATGCAGATCCCCAGTCTTGAACTCTCCAGCCACCAGAATCGTGAGCCAAGTAAATGTCTTTTCTTGATAAACTACCCAGTCCTGGGTATTCTGTTAACAGTAACAGCAAGTGGACTAAGACATTGCCTTTTGGAGGAAGTTACTCAGTATGGTGCTGATGGCCTCTGAATTTAATACCCACATGAGATTTTTGTCTTCCCACTTTGCTGTTTTTCAGATCGCCATGAGGTTATCTCCAAAGAAATATTGGAACTGGACCCATGGGAAAACCAGTGGAATGTTGTAGCCATCAACGTCCTCATGCATGACAGCTATGATGTCTGCCTAGTAGCCAGGATGAATCCCCGAGACCTCATCCCCCCGCCTTCAGATTTGGTGGAAGAAGGCAATGAGCACTAAGGTGACCTTGCTGGAGGACCTCCTGCTGTTCTGCAAACAAGGCCTTCAGAACGGAGAGGGCCCACAGCATCTCTGTCATGCCAGTCATGTGCACTGCATGCGTAGTGGCCTGTGTGTGAAGAAGCAGTGTGTGCTGGGCACTGGGTGGGGAGCATGGGGAGTCTCCCTTCAGGGACTTCCCAGCCTGATAGGGTAAATAAGACACTACAAAGAAGAGGTGATGACGGCCACAGGAGGGGCACAGGGCCACAGGAGAGCAGCAGAGGGAGGGTCTCACTCTGCTGGGGACCCATGAACAGCACTGCCAAGGAGCAGACCTTTTATTGGGTCCCCAAAAGGATGAGGAGGAAGTGGTCCCATGGGTGCAGTCAATGATGAGTTCATGGAAACAGCCAAGCAAGGGCCCAGAGACAGAAAGCTCGTGCCTGTCTGCAGTATCCTGGCTGGGCCAGATTGCCTGGGGCACAGGGTTTGTGGTCAAGGCTGGAAAAGTAGGTTGTAGCTAGATGACCAACGCCTGAAAGAATGAGGAGTTGGACCTGGTCTGTAAGCCAGGGAATTGTCTCAAAATCGTGCATTAAGGGAGACTTCTCTCTGTGCTCTGTTCCAGCTTCAGTCTTATAAACACTGACCATTCTCCTTCAGAATCCCCTTCTACTGAAGCAACGCCACCCAGCAGCAGGGCTAGCTGTACTACCAGCCCCTAACAACCAAGGCACTCAAGCCAGACCACAGTGGCCAAGAATCCTGCCCTGGGCTGACTCTGTCCGGGACAGGGATGTGGGGTTCTGCAGCCTGGTCCACTCCGGGGCTGGCAGGGAGTGTCCTGGAGTGGGCTGACCCAGGCTGCCTTTGCCCACCTCTCAGACACATACAACCATCTGCAGGGTAGTCCTGGCTGAACAGGACTCGCCCAAGCCACCCAAGCCAGGGACAGAGAAGGCTCTGGCTGAGGACAGGGGAAGAAGCATCTCCTCCAGCTGCTGCCAACCCCATGGCCCGGCCTTTGCAATAAAGATGGAGCCACCCACTTCAGCCCACAATTGAGCATAATCAGAAGACAGTCACTCCCAAAATATATGTTAGAAATAACATTTAAATGACACATGGGAAGTCCGTCTATCTTACTTCCCGTCTCTAATTCTGGAAGCACAGTGGATTCAATGAGGGCATCTTCATAGCTCTTCTTCAGCAACTTCTCCAAAGAGTTTCACATTGCACAAGGCTCTTTTGGAAGCAGGAGTGGTCAGTAAATTCAGAGGGAGACAAACCCTAAGTAGAGACAGCTTTCTTTGGTGCTGAGCTGTGTGATTGTGATGACCGCTAGCCTGTGCCCCTAGGTTCCAGCTGCCCACCAGGCAGGACAGGCAGGTCTTGCCAAAACTGGAGCCTGTTGGAAACCTATTTCTGCCACCAAGGAGAGGGACCAGGAGACCCAGCGTAGGTTGGCCCCAAGTAGGCTCAACTCGGGAGGGTGGGGGTCCCGCCTTTCTCTTCGCACTTGTGCCCCAAGTGCACTCACAGTACCTGGCATGTGGGTGACCTCTTGGGTGGCCGGCATGGGGCAGTGTTTCTCAATCAGAGGGCCTGGGCCCCGAGCACGTCCAGGAATCTGAGTTAAAGTGAGCTTACTCTTTCCCCAGTGGATGATCATGATCTGTGCATTCTTTTTCTTGCTACAAAGATGTTCCTCCTAGCTGCTGTGTTGGCTGTCGGCGGCCAGGGTTGAGGACGGCCTCCACAGGGCCTCCACTTCCCTCCATTCCTCTTCACATAGTCACTCCACCTGCTCCACCTGCTTGAAAAGTCCAGAAAGCTGCCGCGTCTCCCTGGCTCAAGGAGGCCTTGTTGGCATGTCATGGCACATCTCCTAGATGTTTTGGGTTCAAGATCTGGGTTCCAGCCCCCGCTCTGCTACTTAGCTAACCATGTGAACTTGGGCAAGATGACCTTTCTAAAGCCTCATTTCCCTCATATGCAGAGTGGGAAGGAAAATATTAATACATACTTTATAGGGTTGGTATGAGGATTAAGTGCTGAGCAAAGTGCCTGTGAAATCCTGAAATAATAAGCATGTTTTAGCTGCCATTATTATCATCACTGTCATTATCATTGCAGTCAGCACTTCCCAAAGCAAGGTGCCCAAAACAGACTCAGTGCTTTAGGGAAGTGGGGCAGATGTGCATATGGCTTGTGACGGTTCTTTCTTTTTTTTTTTTTTTTTGAGACGGAGTCTCTCTCTCTCGCCAGGCTGGAGTGCAGTGCAGTGGCACGATCTCAGCCCACTGCAACCTCCGCCTCCCAGGTTCAAGTGATTCTCCTGCCTCAGCCTCCCAAGTAGCTGGGATTACAGGCGCCCACCACCACACCCAGCTAATTTTTGTATTTTTAGTAGAGACGGGGTTTCACCATGTTGGCCAGGATGGTCTCAATCTCTTGACCTCGTGATCTGCCCGCCTCGGCCTCCCAAAGTGCTGGGATTACAGGCATGAGCCCCTGCACCTGGCTGAGATGGTTCTTAATTTCCCATACCCTGTTGCTTGGCTCCTCCAGTTGGCGGCTGAGAGTTAAGCAAGGGTTTACTCGGATCTGAGGCCCCCGATGCCCTCAATGGACACATTCAGGACCCTGTGGCAGCTCAGCAGAGGCACCTGAGGGTCACGCTAGGTGAGACCATCGCCCGCCTGTGGGAGGCAAGATAAGTGGGTAAACATCATTCCTGTCTAATGCGAGGTCTGGGCAGTGTCCCAGTGGAACTTTCCAGAGAGTGCCAAGGGAGGACCGAGAAGGGGCATGACCTCTGCTGGAGCCAGGAGGGCAGTGACCAGGAGCTGGCTTAGCACTGAAGGGAAGCAGGCATCAAGGGCAGGATTTCTCAAACTTCTTCTGAGGAATCCCCGAGGTCGAAACCGGTGCTTCACAGATTTCAGATGTCTGATCTTGATTTTTCTTTGATTCCATACAACAGATTGCTTGCCTGGGTTAGTGCTTATTTTAAGTTCTTGGTGCTTCTTGTCTGACTTCTGTATTTGCAATTAAAAACAACATGACCCTCCCCACCTGCAGCCAGATATCGTTAGAAATTCAACTTCGAAATATATTCCTATCACTCCTGTTTTCACTTTAATAGAAGGCTGTTGCAGTACTGCATGATGGGCTCTTATAAAACTTCTACTATCTGCTAATTCTTATCTTTGTGACAGGATTGTTTGACACTGAGCAAGGAAACACAATAAGGAAGTAATTTGGATGCTAGGCTGGCAGAAGCCTGCAGCTGTCAACCACAGCCTGCCCCAGTGTGTTCAACACGGTGGCATTGTTCTCCCTGACTTCATAATGAGCAAATGTTTCACATTTGAACTTAAGGAATAAATTTTTACTAATAAAAGATCACTTTCATTTTGTTTTTCACATTGCAGTTCCAGGAGATGCTGAGGGTCCCTTGAGTTGGGGAGTGATGGCCAGGGGACAAGCAGCAGGCCCGGGGCAGGGCTGTGAGATGGCTGGGGCAGCAGGGGTGTCCTCAGGGTGCTGCACAGGAGGGCAGCCAGGAAACTAGAGAGAGGCTGGGCGTGGTGGCTCACGCCTGTAATCCCAACACTTTGGGACACCAAGGCAGGTGGATCGCCTGAGGTCAGAAGTTCAAGACCAGCCTGGCCAACATGATGAAATCCTGTCTCTACTAAAAATACAAAAATTAGCTGGATGTGATGCTGCATGCCTGTAATCCCAGCTACTTGGAAGGCTGAGGCAGGAGAATCGCTTGAACCCAAGAGGCGGAGGTTGCAGTGAGCCGAGACCCCACCATTGCACTCCAGCCTGGGCAACAGGAACGAAAACTCCATCAAAAAAAAAAAAAAGTTGACGCCTTTCGCAAAAGACCTGAGGCCACACCGAGAGTTGGGTCTTTACGCCCCAGCAACACGGTCTCAGGCAAGGAAGTCCTCTAAGAACATCATCCACAGCCCAGAGCCACTAAGCAGGGTGGAGCAGCCTGGCAGTCCAGCAAGACGCATGTTGGGGGCCAAGTTGGGGGGAGCCTGGGCGAACCTGAGCAGTGGGATCAGAACAACAGTGTGGGTTGGGTGCAGCCGAGGATAGAGAATGTCTGTGTTTGCTGTCAGATTCAGAGAGAAGGGACAGGCCAGGATTTTGGCCAGAAAAGAATGGCCAGTCAGCCAAACTCAAAGACCAGAAGATCTTACAGGGAGTACCCTATTGGCAAGGGGCCCTCCCCTCCAACAGTGTTCCTAAAACAGAGCCACTACACAGTGGCTTCGGCTGTTCACCCTTGGCCCACCTGGGGTCACCAAGAGACAGGAGAGGAGGCTCTGGGGTGTAGAGTCACGTCACCCACTTGCCTACCTAGCAGACAGTCGGGTGTGTCCCTGCTCTTCCTCATTTACAGAGACAGGGACCCTGACCCAGCTTATATGCCCAGCACAACCCAGGCATAACAATAAACATAACAATCCCATTCCTTTACCAGGGGTTAGTTAGACATGGCCATGTGGCACAATCCCAGCCAAAGAGACATAAAGGGAAGCTTGCAGAGGGGCGAGGGAAAGGTTCTCTCACCTTTAAAAGTGATGTTGAGGAAGAGATGGGCTATTTTCTGCTTAGCAAGTCGGCCTGCCCCCTGGAACTGCAGCCACCGCCCTGCAGTGGTGACAGAGGAGGCTGGAGACTGCCACAGGTGATCCACAGAGGGGGACGGGCCCTGCAGAATCCGGGGCCTTGGTGATGTAATTGAGCCACTAAACCAACCAGGTAGGAGGCTTTTTGCCAGATGCTAATTGTTACAATAAATGTTTCTTATTGTTCAGGCCACCTTGAGTTACTTGTAGCCCAGGATTTCCTAAGTATTACTCCAACCTTCCCCCACAACGCCACCTTCTCTTGGGATAGCATTTGTTACCCCTGCCAAAGAGGAGGACTCAGACAGTCCCTGGTCCCTGGGATGTCAGATGACAAGGTTGTCATTCACTGCAGTACGGTAGCTTCTGCAGGGCTGCTGAAAGCTGATGGTTTATGAGCCTGAGTCACTTCTTAGCTATTTATCCGGTATTGCTTTTTCTCTCAGATCTTCAACATATTTGTTTGTTTACTACAAGTCCCACCCGACACTCATTTTTGTAAATGTCTTATTGGAACACAGCCATGCTCGTTCATTTCTGCACCATCCGTGGCTGCTTTCTGTATTGTCTATGGCCCTTTGCAGAGAAAGCTTGCCAACTTCTGGTGTATTCCATCAAATTTTCTTTTGATGGAAGAAAAATACTGAGCTAAGGGAATATATGTACTATAAAGGAATATATATGCATATTCCTCTATGATATATTACACATGCATACACATACATATATATATATATACACACACAAGACATGGTTCTAACTTATTCTTTCACTCAACAATATCTCTTAAAGACAGTGCTCCATATGGGAGCATGTGGATCTGCCAGTTTCTAACACCTGCACAGTATTCCATCATAGGTGTGGCAGAATTTTGTTAACAAGTCACCCAGAGCTAGAAATTCCCATTGTTTCCCACAGATGTTGTTTTGGTGGGCCGCAGGGGTAGGGGCGTCTGACCGTCCCCTCTGTTGCTAGGGATTGGCAGTTGTTTAGAAGGTGGCCTTTACAGTGCACTTACGTTTTCTGTGGGTGCTCAGGAGCACCAGAGACAATCCTGGGAGGCTCCCGTTGTGCTCAGTGGCTTCAAGCCACTTGGAGGCACTTGGGCTTACTGAGAGATGTGGCAGGTGGTAGCCAAGCGAGGAGGCAGGCCAGCCTCACGCAAAGCCTGGTCTCCACTGCAGAGAGGAGCCCAGGGAGGGAGTGGACAGCTGGCACAAAGAGGAGAACCGACGCAGGCCGGCGTCTCTTGGAAGCCACACTGGCCCTGCAGCACTGAGACACTCAGGAGCCCATGATCCTCCACCAGCCGTGAAGCAGCAGAGAAACTCATGGTCCGAAACCGCAACCAAAGCCTCCAGTTCCGTGGCCAGACGTGGGTGGAGGCAAAGGGAAGACCCACAGCTGGCCTGCAGCCTCGCGTCTGCCCTCTTCCAGCCGCGGGCCTGCAGGGCGCCCAGCATCCTCAAGGTGAAGCGTCTGAGGGCTGAGCCATGATGAGGGTGGCCTTGGAATGGCAGGGAGCAAAGTGTCCCTGAGGCTGGGAATCAGCAGCCCCAGCTCCAAGGGCAGGCCTCTCTTTCCCCCTTCAGCTCTGCAGAGCATGTGCTGGTGCTGATCAGGACTCCCGGAACAAGACAGGAGGCCACCCCACCATGGAGGATGGTCTGGGGGAGGACAGTCATGGCGATGACCTCAAGGCACCGGTCACACACTCAGCATTTTCCGAGTCCTTTTTGGCACCAGCACCGCACTGGGCAGGGAGGTGAAAGATGATACACGAGGCCCTGCTCTGAGCCAGCTCGCCTTCTGGAGGAGAGGAAATGTGCAGACACGGAGGTGACACAGCAGGCAGAATGCCACATTGTCCCCACTTGTGTTCGCTTCCTGCCACCACCAGAACACATGACCGCAAATTTAGAGGCTTAAAACAGATTCACGTACTTGCATTTCCGTACTTCAGAAGCCCAAAATGGATCTCAGTGAGTCAAAATCAAGGTGTCTGCAGGGCTGCATTCCTGCTGGAAGCTCTAAAAGGAATCCACTTCATTGCCTTTTTCAACCACTGGAATCTGCCACCATTTTGTGGCTTGTGGCCTGTCCTCCACCTTCCAGGCCGGCAGCTAAGCCACCCAGCTTTGCTTTTTCATCACACCTTCTTCTCTGACCCCTCTTCCACTTTTCAGGACCCTGGAGTTACACTGGGCCCGTCTGGAAAACCCAGGATGCTCTCTCTGACCAGCAGCCCCAGCCCCCTTCTTGTGTGATGCCACCCACTTGGGAGGTTCTGGGTTCTGCGGACCTTTTAGGGGAACCATTATTTTGCCTACCACAACCCCCAAATCCCCATAAAGTACGGTCATCACAGATGTGCATGTGCGGCGTTTATAGGAGTTCACATACACGCCAAGGTTGGAAACCCCAGCGAGGAGGGAAAGAGGAGCACATACACAGATGCCTGGTCCTTAGAACACAGTGCCCTGGGACCTCCATGACCAGCAGGGGCGTGCTGAGAGGTTCTGGAAGATTCTTTTCTCCGTGGAGGAGCTGGAGGAAGCACGCAGGCCTGGGGCTGGCGGCAGCCCTCTTCCAGCCGCAGGTGAAGCTCACACCGTGGAAGGAAAACAGCAAAGCAAGAACTCAGGCCACTGACCACATCACTGTGCCCCTGAATGAAGCCAGGCCCGAAGCCTGCTGTACCTCTGGCACTCCCAGGTTTCAAGCCAACACATCACATTCCCTTGTGGGTAGGTTTTTTGTTTCTTACATCCCAAGATATCTTGAGGATGGTGCAAAACGTAGGATGTTATAGGCAGGATGTGAGGAGCAGGGTGGAGGATGCCCAAGGCCACGCTCCAGGCTGAGAAGCTGGCGTTCAGGCTCTGCAACTGTGCTGTCGTGGGCTGAGCTGTGTCAGTTGCACTTGGGACGAGGCCCACTGCAGATGGAAGATTAACATTCAAAAGGGCCTGCTGAGAAAGACTCCTGATGTTGGAGCGTGAGGCTGCCTCATGGGGCCTTACTGTCTGTCTCACAGGACCTGCAATAAGGCCCTGTGGGGCAGAAACAAGCTACTTTGAAAGTAGTCCATTAGAAAACAGGAAGGAAAAAAATATTCTCATTAGGAGATGCCCTTCCTGGGAAACTGGGTAAAGGCTACCCAGGATCTCCCTGGTATTATTTTGTATAACTGCATGTGAATCTACAACTATCTCAATTTAAAAAAAATTAATTTTTGAAAGGGGAGTGAGAGATGCCCCTTCTACCTACAGACTACAGTAAAAACAGCTCCCGGCCCCTTCTACCTACAGACTATAGTAAAAACAGATCCTTGGCCCCTTTGGGGCTCTGGCAGGAACATGTTAATTAAGATCATACAGCCTGAGCCCTTGGGTTCCTAACCTGGCTCCACCCCTTCTTTATGTGACCTTGGGGAACTTAGACACCCTGCTGCTCACTTTTCCCATCTACAAAAAGGGAATAACGATGGTACTACCTAATAGGGTTATTATGATAATTAAATGAGATAATACATGTTACACTCTTAAAACAGTGCTTAGCATAGTAAGTGCCCCAAAATCTTAGGTCGCGATAGTGGCCGTCCTAATTCCACTGCAAGCTAAGGTCTGGAAAAGTAGAAACAAAAATGAGGGGCTCCACAGGAGATAATATTGCAGCCCCAGATAAGTCTGACCCTCTGAGAAGATATTTCCTCCCTAAAACAAATGAAAATAAATTATGAGAAAGAATAGAGAAAAATAACTACTAGAAATGTTTTAACGTGAGAGTCAAAATAAAAGTTTCAATGGAAGGGTAGGAAAATAAAGTGCAAGAAAGTGGCCCAGAAAGTGAAGTTACAAGACCAGAGAGAGAGAAAAAAAAGACCTAGAGAATCAACCCAGAAGACCAACAGCCAGCACTTGGGCGTCCAAAAAGAGGACAGAGACCAAAAGAAAGGAAAAGGCCCAGGAAAAGGCAGGCGTTCCCCAGGACTCACCTCTCACAACAAGTGTGCAGTAGCCCACAGGAGGCTCCTTATGGGAAATTTCAGAACTTCCAGATGAAGTGAAAGCCCTAATGGTGTTGGGTGGGTGGAGTGGGTAACGTTTAAAGGGATGAGAACTGGGCTGGGGTGCAGTGACTCATGCCTGTAATCCCAGCGCTTTGGGAGGCCCAGGTGGGAGGATCACTTGAGGCCAGGACTTTGAGAGAAGCCTGGGCAATATAGTGAGACCCCACCTCAACCAAAAAATTAAAAATTAACCAGGTATGGTGTCACACGCCTGCAATCACAGCTACTCAGGAGGCTGAGGCAGGAGGATCACTTAAGCCCAGGACTTTGAGGCTATAGTATACTATGATCGTGCCACCGCACTCCAGCCTGAACAACAGAGCTAGACCTTGTCAAAATAAATTTAATTTAATTAATAAATTAAATTAAGTGATGAGAACTGGAGTGGCATCAGGTGCTCAAAAGCTAACACTACCAGCACTTTGGAAGGCAGAGGTGAGAGAATTGGTTGAGCCCAGGAGTTTGAGACCAGCCTGGGCAAGATGACAAAACCCCATCTCTAAAAATAAAAACAAAATTAGCAAGGCACAGTGGCACGTGTGCCTGTAGTCCCAGCTACCTGGGAGGCTAAAGTAGGAGTAACCCCTGGGCCCAGGAGTTTGAGGCTGCAGTGAGCTGTGATCACACCACTGCACTCCAGCACCTGGGTGAAAAAGCAAGACCTTGACTCTATTTAAAAAAAAAAAAAAAAAAAAAAAAAAAAAAAAAAAAGCT
Source organism: Homo sapiens (assembly GCF_000001405.40). Taxonomy (NCBI): domain Eukaryota; kingdom Metazoa; phylum Chordata; class Mammalia; order Primates; family Hominidae; genus Homo; species Homo sapiens. The sequence continues at coordinate 127,993,702 of NC_000003.12, forward strand.
AACACATGCTGGAGATTAAAGGAGAAAAACCTTCAAAATTCTGTGGGAAATTCATTTTCAAACTATATTCTTATTCCCAGTCTTACCATTCAACAAGCAAGAGAGCAGAGCAAAGACATTTTTAGACATGCAAAAACTAGAAAACATTTTGTTCCAGTTGTCTATTGTTGTGTAACAAACTACACCCAAACTTAGCAACAACCCTTTTATCACATCCTATGATTTTGTGGGCCAGGAACTCTGACATGGCTCATCCTGGTGATTTATCTGTTCTATATGGCATCGATGGAGGTCCTCAGTGGTTTTCAGGCCTAGCATCCCTCACAGGCCTGGTAAGTGGGGAGGATAGCTATAAGGCTGGGCCCAGCTGGGACACTATGACTTCTCCAATATGGCAGGTTCAACTGGAACTCCATGGTTCTCCTGCATGACTGGCTCAACTGGGACCCCATGGCCTCTCTAACATGGCAGGGTCAACTGGGACTCCATGGCCTCTTCAACAATGCAGGCTCAGCTGGGACACTATGGCCTCTCCATTATGGTGGTTTAACTGGGACCCCATGGCCTCTCCAACATTACAAGCTCAGCTGGAACTCCAAGTCCTCTCCACCATAGTGAGCTCAACTGGAACCCCCTGGCTTTCCAACATGGTGGGCTTAACTGCTACCCCATGGCTCTTTAACCTGGTGAGCTCAACTGGGTCCCTGTGGCCCTCCAATATGGCAGATACACAGGTCCAAGAGTAAGTGTTCCAGCAAGAAAGGCAGAAGCACATGGCCTTGCATGACCCACCCTCAGAAGTCTCTTAAAGTACTTCCACTGTACTTTATTAGTTGAAGCAGTCACAAGTTTCAGACTCAAGAGGAAGGACATAGACTCACCTCTCAATGACAGAAGAGGCAATAAATGTGCAGCCATGTTTCAAAACTGCCACATCTACCATCCATGCATTCTTAAGAGGCTCCTTGAGGATGTGCTCAAGCAGAATAAGGTAGTAAACCAAGGAAAAGGAAGACATGGACCAGGAAACAGTGGATCCTACTAGGACAGTCTTGGGAAGTCCCAGGCTGACCAACTCACTGTGGGGCAGAGAGCACCCACTCCGGGTGGGAGAAAGAGAAAGAACTCCACGAAGGAGTTCAATACAAAAGCAAAAACAAAACAATTAGATGCTAGATGGGTTATTGAAGAAATGATAGAACATGGGAAAGGAATTAAGTATGTAAACAGAGAGAATTCTGCAGTGAAAACATGAGGCAAATTATGACTATAATAAAAAAAATATATATGATCTAGGGTTGGGCACGGTGGCTCACACCTGTAATCCCAGCAGTTTGGAAAGCCAAAGTGGGCAGATCACTTGAGTTCAGGAATTTGAGACCAGCCTGGGCAACGTGCAGAAACCAGGTCTCTACAAAAAATAAAAAAATTAGCTGGGCATGGTGGTGCGCACCCACAGTGCCAGCCACTTGGGAGGCTAAGGTGGGAGAATCGCTTGAGCCCGGGAAGTCAAGGCTGCAGTGAGCTGTGATTGCACCACTGCAATCCAGCCTGGGTGACAGAGTGAGAGCCTGTCTCAAAAAAAAAAAAGGGGGGGGTTTAAACAAATGGAAACAATCATAGTGCACCACTTAGGTCTGAAATGAATATTTACATAGCCATAATATCTAGGCACCATATAACTCAAAAAAATTAACTCTTTGGGGAGGGTGGAGGAGGAATGCGGTGTAAGAAAGAAATCGTCAGCCAACCAACCTATAACACCCAAGATCAACAAACCAAGAAATAGCAACATAAACCTATTGTTTAGAAACATGGGTTAACCACCAAACAACAACAACAACAACAACAACAACAAAACCTAGCTAAAAATGTCACTTGGCTGCCTCTGAGGAAGGGGCCTGGACAGAGGCAGGGGCAGGGGCTACTTGTGTAATTATCAGCTTTTTGGAATTTTTCCATGCATGTACTAGTTTGTAAAATGCTAAGTGTTTGACATTTAAAATGTGTTAAAATAAAGGGGTGTCTAAAAGGTCTCATTGGTTCCTTAGCATAATAGATACTCTAGGCCAGACAGGACCTTAAAGATGCTCTCCTGGGAGGTCATCAGCCTCACCAGCATTGGGGGACTGGACAGGGACTTTGGCGTGAGACCACTGGAGCTAACAAGGAGCCCATCCCTGCAATGCTGACGCCCGCTGAGCCCAGCAGTGTGTGTCCTGATCAACCCCTGTTGTTTGTTCAGATGGCCCCACATGGCTAGGAACACCAAAATTCGAAGAAAAAGGAGTGTGATTAATTAGCCATGAAGTGACCTATTAATCAGATGCTTGCTGCCTGTGGGACAGATAACCAGATCAGGCTGGGCCGTCATTCACTCTGAAAGTGGGAGTCTGGTCCCTAAGCCCTGGGCCACTTCTCTCCTGGCTTTGCTGCCTGCATAACCAGGCCAGTTCACTGTCACTTTTGGTCAAGGAGTGGGTATGAGTTACCCCCATCTGTCCTGGGGCCCCAGGGTTGGCTGTTCCCAGAAAGCCTGATTTACTCTGCTGAGATGTGAAGCCTCCATTCCCTTGTATTTAAAGCCTACAACTGACCTGGCCCTCAGAAGCCATTTTCCTCCATAGCTTCAAACATCACTGCCAGTTCATTTGACAATATTTGTTGCTTCTCAGCACGGGGCTGGCACAGGGATCCCAGGGGGGCTCAGGATTGCCCCCAAGCTGGGGAAGCGGGCATGGCCTTGATCATTTAGGCCCTGCTATCTGCCCCAAGATAGAGGGGCTGAAAGGGCAGGGGCTGAAATGGCAGAGGCTGGGCTGGGGGTGGGAGACAGGCCTTCTCAGATGCCATGGGTGCAGTAGGAATTGGCAAAACCTCTGGGGGACAATTTGACAACAGGATATGTTTTAAACACCCATACCCTTTGCCCAGCAGCTGTTTCTGTAAAAGCATCCTACAGACAGACTCCCACGGGCACATAAAGGCATCACCAAAACATGCCAGCAAAGTCTGGAAACAAGCTCAGTGCCCATCCACAAATGATGCCGTAGCTGTGCCATGCATACCCTGCAGGAACTAAAACAGACGAGGCTGATGGATAGAGCTGTGGGACTCACTCCAGGATAAGCTGTTAAGTCCAGTAAACAGGATGAGGAGGTGTCTGTACCGGAAACTACCATTTGTGTAAAAAGGTAGGAGATATATATGCAAATGAGCTTTTATATGCACAGAACCTTCTAGAATAACACACAGGAACCAAGACACTGAGAGATACAGACAGGGGTAGGAAGGTAGGAAGGTGGTTTACTTCTCAGTGTACATCCACTTGAACTGTTTGGCCTTTTAACATGCACATAAAATTTTTAAAAAAATAAGTGTTGGTGAGGATGTGGAGAAATTGGAACCCTTGTGCACTGCCAGTAGGAATGTAAAATGTAAAATGTTGCGGCCACTGTGGAAACTAATTTGGCGGTTCCTCAAAAACTTAAATTAGTATTACCATATGTTCCAGCAATTCCACTTTGGGTGTATTCCCAAAAGAATTGAAAGCAGAGACTCAAACAGATTTGTACACCACTATTCATAGTTGCACTATTTACAGCAGTCAAAAGGTAGAAGCAACAAAGCATCCACCGACGGATGAATGGATCAACAAAATGCGCCTGTCCGTGCAATGGAATATGATTCAGCCTTAAAAGGGAACGAAATTCTGACGCATGCTACAACATGGATGAAACTTAAAATAAGCCAGATACAAAAGGACAGATATTATATGATTCCACTTGTACGAAGTACACAGAGTAGTCAAATTCATAGAGATAGAAAGCAAATGGTGGGGGTCAGGGGCTGGGGAGGAGGAATGGGGAGCTATTGTTTAACGGGGATGGGGTTTGCAAGATGAAAAGACTTCCGTGGATGGACAGTGGTGCGGCTGCACAACAATGTGAATGTATTTAATGCCACTGAATTATACATTTTAAATGGTTAAGATGGTAAATATTATGTTTTGTATATTTCACTGCAATAAAAAGTCTTTCACTGATACATTTTCTGAGCAATTCTGGAAGCCAGCTAGGAGCTCTGCTCCAGGGAAGCCACCCGTCTGAGGCAGCCCAGTCTCCATGGCAGAAGGATGGACTCCTTCTTCCCCCAAAGCCAAGACTTATGATTCTGGGAACCCATAGCTTCCACCACAGAAAAGCCGCTGCCCCCTCTGTGAGGCCTAAGACCTGGCCACTTAGATATTTGCAGTGGAGTCCTCTGTTGTCCCTGAAGCAAGCCAGGGGCAGCAGCTGTTGAGGACAAGCCACTGCCTGTACAACTGCAGAACTGAACACTCTTCTGTCCCTCAGCACCCAGGAATGCTGCCATGACACGTGAGCCAGACAGGCATCAGCTCCCTGCTGACCCCATGGGCTTGCTGTGTTTGCACTCAACTGAGTCAATACTCGTAATAGAGGCAACCGACACATCCGTGCATGTCAGCTTCTGCTCACCAGCCACTGAGGATCTGGAAGGGAAGAGGAGGCCCAGGCAGAGGGCAGAGATCGAGATCTGGTGTCCTTGTTCTGTAGATGGCAAATGCCTCTCTTATCTAAGCAGCATTCTGGAGTTGCCATATGTGTGGGTTCATGCTGCCATCACAGTTGCCCACAAAAGACTGGGATAATTATTCCCATTTTACAAATGGAGAGACCAGGGTTTAGAAGGATGAGGTTGTCTGCCCAAGTGTACCAGCCGTGACTTCACAATCCCAGTCTTCCCAGCCACCTGGATGTCTTCCCAACATGCATTACTGAGAAAAAAGCAGCTAGAAAACCTGCAAATGTGGTTTTCATTATCTCCCTTCCCAACTGAAGAAGTCTCTGAACTCTGTTTCAGCCTAGAGGTGACCACTGAACAGAGAAGCCTTGCTTCTCTGGGTCTTGAACAAGCTCCAAAGTAAAGGTCACCCAACCCCCAACCCCATGTGAATGCAGGGCTGATCTGTCAGGAGTCGAGGCTGTCCCCAAATGGAAGCCTTCTAGGGCAGGAACTGGCAGAACATTCTAGGACCCCGGATTCCTAAGGTTGGCTGTGGAAGCTGTCCTAGGGGCCCAGGAGGGAGAGTGCAGCTCTAAAGGCGGGCTGCCCATGGCACCTGTCTCTGTGTCCTGGCCACCTCCTCATTGCAGGCCCTTCCTGGGCCACTTTCTTGTCTCTAAATGAAGAAAAACAACATCCCATCTCATCCTTAAAATGGCTCCACTTTAAGGATTATGGTGTTGATAAAAAAACAGCAATGTAGGCTGGGCATGGGGGTTCATGCCTATAATCCCAGCATTTTGGGAGGCCAAGAGAGGCAGTTCACCTGAGATCAGGAGCTCAAGATCAGCCTGGCCAACATGGCAAAACCCCGTCTCTACTAAAAATATAAAAATCGGCCAGGCATGGTGGCGTGCACCTGTAATCCCAGCTATTCTGGAAGCTGAGGCAGGAGAATCACTTGAACCTGGGAGGCGGAGGTTGCAGTGAGCGGAGATTGCACCACTGCACTCCAGCCTGGGTGACAGAGCGAGACTCTTTCTCAAGAAAAAAATAATAATAATAAATGTATATGAAATGCCTTACAATTGGGAGTAAAATATTCAAATTTTAGGAAATCTTAATGTAAAACATCATATTAACAGATTGAAAAAAATGATCATTTCAATAGATAGCAAAAAGAGATTTTGAGAAATTCAACATACATTCTCAATTTTTAAAACTCTTAATAAAATAGAAAAACATGGACTCTTCCTTAGCACGATTTTAAAAATGTATATATTTAAAGGGCTTCCACCTCCAGTCCTGTGAGAATAACTGTACTAGACTTGCCCTCCTGCCGTAAATACCTAGAAACTGGACAAATTATTTGAAACAACTGTTTTTAGACATTGTACAACAGGCACAGTCTCTGGACTGTGATCTCTGAGAGAAGGAAAGCAAACAGAATGGTTCAATGGCTGGCCCAGCTCCCTGCCTCAGTGTAGGTGGTAGAAGCCCAAGCACAGCAAGGACTGGCACCGGGGAAAGTGATGAGCTGGAGTTTGCAAGACAGACCACAGAAGGGGAGACACAGAATGGGCAGACATGGAGCTGCCCATTCAGCACAGGGGTCCGCCTGGGTCTGTTGCTGAACGCTAAGCTGTGTGTGCGTAGGGCAAATTCTGCTGAGCTGGACAAAGAACAGCTGGGAACTTAAGCTGAAAACTTCCCAGGGATCATGCAGGGTTAGGAGACAAGCCAGAGAGGAAAGGCCACTCTCAACCCACTGTATTGGAGACAAAAAAGAGCCTCGAAAGAGCCAAGCTGATTCACAAGAAATGTAATGCCTGCCAGAACCAAGCCCAGCCATGTGTAAAGAAAAACAAGGGCATGTAGCACTCACCACGATGGCCATTCAAAAATAACCAGACGTCCAAAGGAGCAGGAAAGTGCGTGCCACTACCAGGAGAAAAATCAGTCCATAGAAACAGACTCAGGAATGCAGAGATGATGGAATTAGGAGACAAAGACTTTAGAACAGCTACTGGCCAAGTGCAGTGGCTCAGACCTGTAATCCCAGCACTTTGGAGGGCTGAAACAGGAGGATCACTTGAGGATAGGACTTTGAGACCAGCCTGGGCAACAGAGCAAGACCCTATCTCTACAAAAAATTTAAAACATTGGCCAGATGCAGTGGCTCATGCTTGTAATCCCAGCACTTTGAGAGGCTGATGAGGGTGGATCATGAGGTCAAGAGATGGAGACCATCCTGGCCAATACGGTGAAACCCCGTCTCTACTAAAAATACAAAAATTAGCTGGGCATGGTGGCATGTGCCTGTAATCTCAGCTACTCAGGAGGCTGAGGCAGGAGAATTGCTTGAAGCCAGGAGGAGAGGTTGCAGTGAGCCGAGATCACACCACTGCACTCCAGCCTGGTGACAGAGCGAGACTCCGTCTCAAAAAAAATTTTTTTTAATTAGCCAGGAGTGGTGGCATGTGCCTGTAGTCCCAGCTCCTTGGGGGTCTGAGGTGGGAGGATTGCTTGAGCCCAGGAGATTGAGGCTGCAGTAAGCCATGATCATGCCACTACATTCCAACCTGGATGACAGAGCAATACCTTGTCTCAAAAACTAATAATAGCCGGGTGCAGTGGCTCACGCCTGTAATCCCAACACTTTGGGAGGCCAAGTTGCGTGGATCATGAGGTCAGGAGATTAAGACCATCCTGGCTAATATGGTGAAACCTCGTCTCTACCAAAAAAATACAAAAAATTAGCCAGGCATGGTGGCAGGTGCCTGTAGTCCCAGCTACTCAGGAGGCTGAGGCAGGAGAATGGCGTGAACCCGGGAGGCGGAGCTTGCAGTGAGCCGAGATCACGCCACTGCACTCCAGCCTGGGGGACAGAGCGAGAATCTGTCTCCAAAAAAAAAAAACTAATAATAAAATAAGAAGCTATTAGACATATGCTCAATATGCTCAAGAATTTAAAGAAAAAAACATGAACATAATGAGGAGAAATATGGAAAATATAACCAAGAACCTAATGGAATTTCTACAGGTGAAATATACAATACCTGCAATGAGAAACGTATTGACTGAGATTAACAGCATATCACACACTGACAAAGGAAAGATCAATGAACCTGAAAACAATGCAACAGAAACTGAACTGAAGCACTGGGAGAAAAATGCTGAAATAAAATGAACAGAACTGGAAATGTTACCTGTGAGATACTATCAAACAATACATGTATCATTAGGGTACCAGGAAGGAGACAAGAAAAACATTGGAAGACAATCTTCTAAATTTGATGAAAATCATAGATGCAGAGTTCCAGGGAGCTCAAGGACCCCCGCCTGAGAAGCAGGAAGCTTTGTCCCTCAGCATCCCCTCCTGGAAGGACTTGCCCAGAGGCTGTGGGGAGCGCAGGCTGCAGAACGCCCTCAGCCACCAGCTCCTCCCCATCCCTCACCTGCAGAGAGAGCCACTGGCTAAAGGCCACACCTTCCCAGACAGCCCAGGTGACTGAGCAGGCAGGGAATGTGAAGATCTGGCCATTTCAGCTCAGCACAGAACATGCTGATGGAAGGCCTTGCTCTGGAGTCCCCAACAGGTGGGCAGAGGTGGGCAGGCCTGACCGAGGTTGAACTCCACTGCCAAGCCTGCTTCTGCCTCCTCCTGTCACAAGTGTGAAACACCTGGTGCCCCAGACTCCACTCCTTCATCTGCTTCCAGGGAAGCCAGCCTGAGACAACTAGCAAAGGCACATCCTAATGAAATGGCTGAGAATGCGAGGTAAAGGGAAACAGAAGCAAGAATGGCCACGTCCTCAAAAACTCTGCAGACAAGGAGACAATGAAACAGCATCTGCAAGAAAAAGCCGGGGATCTACAAATCTATATCCTGCAACCAAAGAAGACAAAATAGAGACTTTTCCAAACAAACCAAAGCTAGAGATTTTGCCAGCGGCAGACCTGCAATACGGGAAATGTTGACAGGAGTTCTTCACACCAAAGGCGAATGATATCGGATGAAAAGCCTGGAACTACAGGAGAGAATGAAGAGTTTGGGAAATGGAAAATGCATCACTCATATGAAAACCCTTTTCTCATTTTGAATCTCTTTGGAACATAATTGGCTCTGGAAGGTAAAACTGTTAACAATTTGTTGTTGAAGGCCAGGTGCGGTGGCTCACGCCTGTAATCCCAACACTTTGGGAGGCTGAGGCGGGCAGATCACAAGGTCAGGAGTTCGAGACCAGCCTGACCAACATAATAAAACCCCATCTCTACTAAAAATACAAAAATTAGCCGGGCGTGGTGGCACGTGCTTGTAATCCCAGCTACTCGGGAGGCTGAGGCAGGAGAATCACTTCAACGCGGGAGGCAGAGGTTGCAGTGAACCAAGATCGCGCCACTGCACTCCAGCCTGGGCGACAGAGTGAGACTCCGTCTCAAAAAAGAGCAGGATGGCAGGTATAAATACAGACATAAGGATACCTGCATTCAGTATAAATAATCGAGGGACTTGGAAAATCAGATATCAGACTGGACAAAAAAAGTGAGACTTACCTGTATGCTCTCTACCAGAAACTTACTTTAAATATAAAGACACAAATAAACTATAAAAAGATAGAAAAGATATATCATGCAAGCACTAGTCATTTTTTCAAAAGCCGGAGTGCCTATATTCTTGTCGGACAAAGTAGACTTCAGGGCAAACATTACCAGGGATAGAGATGTTTCTTAATGATAAAGGTGTGAATTTATCACAAAGACATCATAATCCTAAATGTGCATCTGCCTAATCACAAAGCTTCAAAACGCATGAAACAAAAACTGACAAACCCACAATTCTCATGTGTGATTCTCACGCAGAATTGAAAGGAAAAACAGACAAATCCACAATTCTCATGCATGATTCCCACACTCCTCTTCCAATAAGGACACAGAAGACTCGAACACGGTCAGCCAATTTAACCATCTCACGCTTAACAATGGCAGAATGTCCATTCTCAGCGCACATAGAGCCATCATCGAAATAAACCATATGCTGGACCACAAAACAAGTTTCATAAATGTTAAACGCTAAAAACAGGCAGAGTATGTTCTCTAACTAAAATATAGTTTAAAAAGAAATCAGTAACAATTAGATATCATTTAAATCCCTCACAATTGGAAATTGAACAAAGCACTTTTAATTACCCATGGGTCAAAGAAGAGATCATAAGAGAAATTAGAAATATTTTTAACTCTGTAAAAATAAAAACGTAGCCTATCAAATTTATGAGAAGCAGCTAAATCAGTTTTTATAGTGAACTTTACAACTTTAAATGCTTACATCATGGCAGGGTGCGGTGGCTCACACCTGTAATCCCAGCACTTTGAGAGATCGAGGTGGTTGGATCACTTGAGTCCAGGAGTTCGAGACCAGCCTGGCCAACATGGTGAAACCCCTTCTCCACTAAAAATACAAAAATTAGCCGGGCAGGGTAGCACACGCCTGCAATCCCAGCTACTCGGGAGGCTGAGGCAGGAGAATCACTTGAAACCGGGAGGCAGAGGCTGCAGTGAACTGAGATCATGACACTGAACTCCAGCCTGGGCAACAGAGCGAGATTCCGTCTCAAAATAAATAAATAAATGCTTATATTAGAAAAGGGTCAGAAATTAGTGAAACCAGTTAATAAATTTAGAAAGATCATAAAATACAAGGTCTATCTACAAAGAAATGTATTTTTATAAACTGGAAATGACCCACTAGTAAATGAAATTTAAAACTTTTAGCCCTTAGATGGAATCAAAAACACAAAAAATAATAAGGGATACATTTAACAACATATGAGCAAGAACTATTCACTGAAAACTGCAAGGTATTACTGACAGTGATTTCTAAGGGCCCAAATAGAGAGACACGCCATGTTCATGGACTGGAAGACTTGAACATGGGTGGGTGCAGGTGAAACAGGACTGGCCAAGGATGATGACTTTAGGGGCCAGATGCTGGGTACACGCATTATACAGTCCCTCTACTTCTATGTACATTTGAAATTTTCAGTAGAATAAAAGGAGCATAAAATATAACCTCCACATCACATTGGGCACCTTCTCCTCCTCATAAGCACTCTCTGCAGCTGCGTAGACTGCCTCGTGGATTCATGTGGGTTCTTGGAATCCGGCCACATTCAGAGACGTGTGAGGCAGGGTGGTTGGGGATTGAGGTTCTCAGTCAGGCAACTCACCCTCTCTGTGCCTCAACTTCCTCATCTGTGACATAGAGCTGCCTTCTAGTGTTGTTGTGAGGACTCAAAGGGTCCTACACCAGAGCACATGGGCTGGCTCCTGGAGAGGGGAGCTGACGGTGCATGCTGACATGCTACCATCGTCACCACCGTCATCCTCATCATGGTCATCTTCATGCTTGTTGTTCCGCTGGTTTCTGATTTCCTGCACTTGCAAGTAACACCACAGCAAACTTCTTTACGTATAAAGCTTTGCCTCCAACTCTGATGCTTTTCTTAGCCTAAATCCTAAAATACTGGATTTCTCAAGCAAAGGGCAGTCAGGCACCCACAGCAGGCAAGAACAGGGGCTGGACCAGAGCCCAACTGCCAGGACTGAATACACACAGCTGCTGCCGGAGGGCCAGCCTGCCTCTACCCAGCCCCGTCCTGGGGTCAGCGCCGCCTCAAAACCAGGCAGTGGCGATGGATGGACAGAGATAGGCCTAGGAGACATTTAGGCCTGGGATCAGAGACGCAGGTGCCACAGGGACCAGGTGGAGAAGGCAGTGCTGCATGCTCAGAGCAGCTGTGGCACACCTATGACTGAGTTTCATGCAGCAGCGATTGCGCTACACCTGGGGCAGGCATTGTTTCAATTGATCTTCAGAACTCTAAGAGGCAGTTCTAACAATAATTCCAAGTCACAAGTGAGGAGACAGAGGCACAGAGAGATCACGTCCCTTGCCCAAGATGCACAGCTAGTCACTGCTGGAGCCGGGATTCAAACTCTGGGATCGGAGTCCTGACCCACCACACTATGCCACGCCCATATGTTCATTGGAAGCCATGCCTGGGTCTGTCCCAAGAGATCCCATTTCGAGGTTTCTGACCCCAAGATGGCATTGCCCAAGGCAAACATTCCAATATTATTATTATTATTATTATTATTATTATTATTATTATTATTATTTTAGACAGAGTTTCGCTCTGTCCCCAGGCTGGAGTGCAGTGGTGCGATCTTCACTCATTGCAACCTCCGCCTCCCGGGTTCAAGCAATTCTCCTGCCTCAGCCTCCCAAGTAGCTGGGATCACAGGTGCCTGCCACTATGCCCGGCTAATTTTTGTATTTTTAGAAGAGATGGAGTTTCACCATGTTGGCTAGGCTGATCTCGAACTCCTGATCTCAAGTGATCACCCTGCCTCAGCCTCCCAAAGTGCTGGGATTACAGGTATGAGTCACCCCGCCTGGCCAAACATTCCAATTTTTAAGTGTTGACAATGAATTCTTACAAATTTAATACTACACAGCCCTCTTGCCACATTTGGCCTACGGGGTATCAGTTTGCAGCCCTGGGAAGGATGAAGCGAGGGAGAGGAAGGTAGTGCAGGCTCCTTCCCAGGGAGTGGGGACACAGAAAAAGGGGCAAGCAGCCCCATTTGTTTGCGTTTCCATACAGTAAGCAAACCTACAAAGGAATGGGCCATCCCCTGTTGCTGGGTCAGGAAGCAGGGATCACAAATGCCGGAAAAAAGAAAAAAGAAAAAAAAAACACCTAGGCACAACCTGGGCTTTCTGCCCTCTGGCAGTAGGGATGGGGTTGAGAGGCAGAGGACCAACGCTGTCACTGTGATTCCCAGGCGCACTGAGGGGAGGGGCACCCCCTGGCGACCCTCCAAGAAGCAGCCCACCCAAATTGCTGCCTGCTGCAAGGGCCAAATGCTGGGACCAGAGGGACCGGCGACCGGGGCCTTTTGCACCGGGCTTTACCCTTTAACACAACAAAACAGAGCCCAGCCTGCTAAGGAGTGTTACACACCTGCTGAGAAACCCAGCTATGCCTGGCCCTCCTCTCAGGCAGACACATTTCCCAGCCCTTGTTGTACACACGATGCCAGCCTTGGGGCCATCGTGCCTCTGTGATCAATAAAAGTAGAAGAAAGGAGCTGAGGCCACCTCATCCCCAGCTGGGAGGCAGGCGGGAGGAGAGGCCCCCAGGCAGCTCAGCTGATGGCAGCTCAGGACAAAGTCTCAGCGTCATCCTGACCCTCCTTCCCAGGCACTCCCCCTTTTTTTCCCCGCCACCACCCCCTTCCCCCCGCCCCCTGGGCACTTGGAAGAGGGGGGTGGGAAGCCGTCTTTGGGATGGAGCTGGGTGGGCAGGGAGCTTGCAGAAGGGCTGAGGAGGAGGTGGGATGGGCTGAGGGAGGAATGAACAGGGCTGCGGCCCCTCAGGGAGCTCCGGATGGGTCCTGAGCCAGGACCAGCCCTGACCTCTGGGCGAAGCCTGCCAACAGCCGGGCAACAAACCTTCCTTGAAGAGGACGCCAGGTGGAGCATCCGCAAAGCCCGTTCAGAGCCAGGCCCCGGCCACCTTTGTTTGTTGCCTGGACCATGGCAGAGGCCTCCCACCTTCCCTGGTTTCCCGCACTGCAGCCAGAGGGAATCTTGGACGGTGCAGCAGGTCCCAGGGCTCCGGCTCCCAGAGGCCGAGGTCCCTAGGGAGGTGTGTAAGGCCGTCAGCACTCTGGCCCCACCTCACCCCACTCTCCGGATTCCTCTGGTTGGTCCTCCGCCGCCATGTGCGGCTTAGCTGTTCTTCCTCTAGAACCTTCTTCCCCCAGACATCCCAATACCAGTTCCTGCACCTCTCCCAAGTCTTTCCCCCTTCTCGGGGCCCTTCCCCACCCATGCGCTCAGGATTCAACGCTGCAGGTCCTCTCCCTCCCCCTAGTGTATTCTTCTCCGTAGCAGGGTCCACCCCCTGCCCACACAGTGACTGCCTTCCAGAGTGCCCGGTAGCTATTTCAGGCTGTTCCTAGCGGTTTCCGTGGGGAAGGAGGGCCCAGACCTGCCCAGCCTCTGGCTGGGTCCCTGCTCCCTGCCTGTCGAAACTCCACCCACGGATCCTGTGATCAGTCTCTCCGGGCTCCTCATGGAGCAGAATTCTCACCCAGTGCTGTCCAGGAAAGCAGAATCCCAGCCACGTCTGCGACTTTAAAGTATGCAGTAGCCACATTTTAAAAAGTAAAAGGAAATGAGTGCAATTAATTTATATTAATTATAGTTAATTTACATACTTTTATAAATAATATACTTTATCTGACTCAATATAACCAAAATATTGTCATTTGAACCCATAACCAATATAAATATATAAGCATATAATAACTATATAAAATATACAAATATGATGGGATATCGTGCATTCTTTTTTTCATACTAGGTCCCCGAAATCCAGTGTGTATTTTACACTCACAGCACGTCTCACTTCAGATGAACCACATCTCAAGAGCTCAGTCCCCTATGGACCAACACTCACATTGTCCCCAGTTCCCCTCTAAACAATGCAGCAATAACATGCTCACACATGCCTCCTGGAAGGCTAGGGTGTGAATTCGTTTCTCTCCTGGGTACGTCCCCAGGGCAGTGGTGGCTGGCTCAGACTTAATTGGCCATGGTTTGCCAGCTCCCTCTGTAGGATGGCTGCGCTGGCCACACTTGCCCTCAAGACACAAGGGTCCACTGGCTCCACACCTTTCCACTTTCTGCATTACCCACCTTTTTTTTTTTTTTTTTTTGAGACAGAGTCTCACTCTGTCGCCCAGGCTGGAGTGCAGCGGCACCATCTCGGCTCACCGCAAGCTCCGCCTCCCGGGTTCACGCCATTCTCCTGCCCCAGCCTCCCGAGTAGCTGGGACTACAGGTGCCCGCCAACGCGCCCAGCTTTTTTTTTTTTTTTTTTTTTTTTTTTGTATTTTTAGTAGAGACAGGGTTTCACTGTGTTAGCCAGGATGGTCTCGATCTTCGGACCTCGTGATCTGCCCGCCTCAGCCTCCCAAAGTGCTGGGATTACAGGCATGAGCCACCGCGCCGGCCATTACCCACCTTTCTAATGTTAGTCAATAGGATAGCTGTAAAATGACACCTCCTTGTTATTTTGATTTGCATTTCTCTAATTGCTAATGAGTTTGGGCTGAGCTACCTTTGAAAGAATTTGTCCAGCCTAAATGAGCATCAATAACAGATTAGCTAAATAAGTCACGTTGTCCTAATTCACAGACTATTGTAGACCTGTTAAAAAGAATGGAACAAGGCTGGGTGAAGTGGCTCACGCCTGTAATCGCAGTGCTTTGGGAAGCCAAGACGGGCAGATCACTTGAGCCCAGGTGTTCACGACCAGCCTGGGCAATATGGTGAAACCTCATCTCTATAAAAAATACAAAAATTAGCCCAGTACGGTGGCACATGCCTGTAGTTCCAGCTACTTGGGAGGCTGAGGCAGGACCACACCCAGTACCACCTGCTCTGCCAGGCACTCACTGTGTGACCTTGGTTCTGCCTGTGCCTCAGTCTCCTCCTCTGCAAAACAAAAAAGGGATGAGGAGAGTCTCACAGATTGTTGTGGAGAAGAGGCATTTGGAGATGCACAGAGAGCAGCATCCAGTCACCTGCGTGCCCCAGCTCGGCTCCGATGCCAGCACTCGCTCCTCTTTGCCATACACCTTTGCTGCGCATCTACCAAATTCCAGGCACTGCTCCGGAGTCTCTCGGAACACAGAGGTGAAGTGCAAGGAAAAATAATAATCATCATATGATTATTAACCCTAGAGAAAATAAAATGCTACATAGGAGAGGGAAGGTAACCATAGATTACCATATGGCACAGCTGTGCCTTGTGTTTACACCGGTTTATGATAATATAAACTCTGAGCCAGAATTAATAACTAAAAGGAGAGAGGGATCAGGACAAGGGAGGGACAAGGACAAACTGTATCCTCAGGAAGCAGAGGCCCTCCATGCTCTTAAGGCCAGCGGCTTCCCTCAGTTGCGACAGGAACGTTCCTTGGCCTCCTGAGCCACTGAGGGCAATGCTGGGTGGCCCACTGCTTGGGTGCTGATGGCTGTCCATTTCAGGGGCATCTGAGCCAGCAGCCCTTGGAGCCCAGCCTCACATACCATAGGCCCAAGAAAGAAGGCTTATGCAAGGCCACACCTGGAGCTAGAGCAGAACCAGATGCAAACCCACCCTGCCTCTGGGTCTGGTGCTCTTTCCTCTGGCCTGCTCAGAGAGCGCAGGCTGGGACCTCGGGATATCCCTTCTGTGCCGGGATCTTTTTTTTTTTTTTTTTTTGAGACAGGGTCTCACTCTGTCACCCTCACCCAGGCTGGAGTGCAGTGGCATGACCTCAGCTCACTGCAGCCTCTGCCGCCTGGGTTCAAGTGGTTCTTGTGCTTCAGCCTCCTAAGTAGCTGGGATTACAGATGTGTGTACCACCACACAGGCTAATTTTTTGTATTTTTTAGTAGAGACAGGGTATCACCATGTTGGCCAGGCTGGTCTCAAACTCCTGACCTCAAGCGATCGGTCCACCTTAGCCTCCCAAAGTGCTGGGATTACAGATGTAAGTGCCGGAATCTTGCACAGCAGAGAGTGGGACTGGTGAAATATGCCCTGGTGCACACACACAGCAGAATGCGTGGCTGCCTACACACAGTAAAGCAAAGCTAGCTGAGTTCCTTTGGGCCCTGTTGCCCCATCTGTAAAATGAGGCTGTGCTAGTGCTTGTGGGCTATGTAAGGGTCCCCTGCATTAATATAGATAAAGCGCATCATTACCATCCTCCTCCCCTCCACTGAGGAGAGACAGCCTCCATGGTGCAATGCCCAGTGCCAAAGGCAGGTGAAGAACTCAGCTCACACCCTGGCTCTGCTGGTGGGGTGTGGACAAGGCCCTGAACACACACATCCATGTGTGAATGTATGAGGGGGTGCTATATGGATGAGTGTGGGCACATTGTGTGTGGCAGGTGTGTATACGTGTGTATGTATAGTTGTGGGTATGTATTGGTGAAAATCATAATCTCCCATGACACAATCCTGGATGCCACGATCTCGAGTGTTGAAATCCTGAAAGATCAAAACTCCAGATGTTGAAATCCTCAAAGTCAAATTCTAGGAAAAGGATTAGTGCATTTCAGGATCATTGCATCATGTTGGTTGCATGTTGGGTGGAACTATTGCTTTGTTATCTTTGTTTGGAAATTCAGTGTGGTTTAAGGAGATGTGTTTGGGTGCCAAGTTGACAAGCCTGGCTCTGCTGTAGACTTGAGAAACCTGGTAGGCATTATTTTGGGGGTGTCTGTGAGCGCGTTTCCAGGGGAGACGAGTGCGTGAGTCTGACTGGATCAGGGGAAAGATCTGTTCTCGGTGTAAACAGGCACATTTATTTATTGCGCAGATAAATCCCCTTTTAAAAATGTTAATAAATGTCTTTTAGAGAATTCTAAAATTATTTTTTCCAGAATTACGTTTCGGGGATTTTTATCTTTTGAAATTTTGATTTTCAAGATTCTATACTCTAGGGATTTTGATCTTTCAGGATTTCAGCTTTCAGGATTATGGAATTTGGAACTGTCTTTTGGTACTATGGCCCAAACTGGTGTGCATACGTGTGTGTGTGTGTGTGTTCATGAGTGTACATATATTGTGTATATCTGTGTGTGAATGGGGTATATGTACATATGTGTGTATATGAGTATGTGTGTGTGTTGTTGGTAAACACAAATCTAGAGAAAAAAATTGTATTTTTTCCGGTGCAAAGAAAGGGAATAAGGCACCCCCTCCCACTTCCTACTTCCTTTAATAAAGCTGAAATTGTAAACGCTACCTCTGTCTCCTTGAGATGTATGTAAATTTATTTTATTGTATCATTATTATTGCAGTAAAGAAATAGTTTATGACCCGAGGCCGGCCACCCTGGAGATTGAGTTATCACTCAATCTCGCTGAGGAGTTGGGGGGGGCTTTCAAGGGTTTTGGAGTGGTGATCGCTGATTGGTTAGGGATGAAATCTTAGGCGTGGGAAACCTCCCTGAGTCCGCCTCAGTCTGGGATCCTCTGACAGGTTTTGCAGCCCCGGGCTCCTTCTCTCCGCCTTGGAAACAGCCAGGAGGTGGCGCCGGATCTCCCCCATCCTCAGGAGTGTGAGGCCCAGGTGCTCGCTTCAGGAAGTAAACTTCTTGTCAAAAGACAGGAGGCATTTGGGAAATTAGCACGTATGGAGTGGGTGGTGTCTGCCAGGCTATGAAAGCTCTTTTTCTTTGCAATCTCTTTAGCCGACTGTCTGTGATGCACACTGCTGTCTAGTTGTAGCAAAACTAACTTCCTGTTACCTTTGTGGAGAGGTTTTCTGGGTTGACAGATTTTGTTTTTAATCATTTTCCCAATGACATGTGTGTGTTTAAGATATGTGTCTATGGCGGCGGTGGGAGCGGGAGAGTGTCCTAAAAAGCCGGTTCAGTGCACACCTCTAGGACTGGTGGAACTGAAGCTGGAATCGGGGATGGGAGGGACAAACCAGTTTTTTCCTATACACTCTGTGTAGCAACAGAACTAAGCACGTGCATGTGCCTTGCATCACAGTTCACTTAGCAACGAGCTGCATCTATGACTGTGGTCCCATAAGATGATAATGGGACCGGGCGTGGTGGCTCACGCCTGTAATCCCAGCACTTTGGGAGGCCGAGGCGGGTGGATCACCTGAGGTCAGGAGTTCAAGACCAGCCTGGCCAACATGGCAAAACCCCGTCTCTACTAAAAATACAAAAATTAGCTGGGTGTGGTGGCGTGAGACTGTAATCCCAGCTACTCGGGAGACTGAGGCTGGAGAATCGCTTGAACCCGGGAAACGGAGGTTACAGTGAATCGAGATCGTGCTACTGCACTCCAGCCTGGGCAACAGAGTAAGCCTCCGTCTCAAAAAAAAAAAAGGACCTAAAAATCCCCCTCGCCTAGTGACGTCACATCAGCTATGACGTCATCGCACACATTCCTCTCTGTGTGTGGTGATGCTGGTGTACACAAACCCACTGCACTGCCAGTCGGATGAAAGCCCAGCACATGCAATTATGTACAGTACATAATACTTGATCCTATTAATAAACGACTGTGTTACTGTCAGAGGCATTGAAACCAGTGCAAATCCATCTTGAGTAGGGACTGGGTAAAATAAGGCTGAGACCTACTGCGCTGCGTTCCCAGACAGTTAAGGCATTCTAAGTCACAGGATAAATTAGGAGGTCGGCACAAGATACAGGTCATAAAAACCTTGCTGATAAAACTGGTTGCAGTAAAGAAGTCGGCCAAAACTCACCAAAACCAAGATGGCCATGAGAGTGACCTCTGTTCGTCCTCACTGCTACACTCCCACCAGCGCCATGACAATTTACAGATGCCATGGCAACATCAGGAAGTTATCCTACATGGTCGAAAAGGGGAGACAAGAATAATCCATCCCTTATTTACCATATCATCAAGAAATAACCATAAAAATTGGCAACTAGCAGCCCTCAGGGCTACTCTGCCTACAGAGTGGCCATTCTTTTGTTTCTTCGCTTCTCCAATAAACTTGCTTTCACTTTACTCTACAGATTCGCCTCGAGTTCTTTCTTGCCCGAGATCCAAGAATCCTCACTTGGCATCTGGATCATGACCCCTTTCCAGTAACATTACCAGTTTATGTATTTACTGTATTTTACTTTTTAATCATTATTTTAGAGCATACTCCTACTTATTAAAAAAAAAGTTAGTGATAAAACAGCCTCAGGCAGGTCCTTCAGAAGGGATTCCAGATGAAGGCATTGTCATCACAGGAGGTGACGGCTCCATTAGTGTTACTGTCCTTGAAGACCTTCCAGTGGGACAGGAGTTGGAGGTGGAAGGTAATGATATCACTGATCGGGACCCTGTGTAGCAGGTCTCAGCTAATGTGTGTGTTTGTGTCTTAGTTTCTGAAAAAAATGTTTAAGAAGTAAAAAAAAAAAAAAAAATTAATAGAAAAAGGTTTATACAATAAGAATATAAAGAAAGAAAATATTTGTGTATGATTGTACAATGTGTTTGTGTTTTAAGTTAAGTGTTATTACAAAAGAGTTGAAAGTGGCTGGGCATGGTGGCTCACGCCTGTCATCCCAACACTTTGGGAGACCAAGGCGGGCAGATCACAAGGTCAGGAATTCAAGACCAGCCTGGACAACATGGTGAAACCCCATCTCTACTAAAAATACAAAAATGAGCCGGGCATAGTGGCGCACACCTGTAACCCCAGCTACTCGGGAGGCTGAGGCAGGAGAATTGCTTGAACCCTGGAGGTGGAGGTTGCAGTGAGCTGAGATTGCGCCACTGTACTCCAGCCTGGGTGACAGAGCGAGACTCTGTCTCAAAAAAAAAAAAAAAAAAAAAAAGAGTTGAAAGTTAAAAAAATTGAAAAGTTTCTGAAGTAAAAATGTTACAGTAAGCTAAACATAGTTTGTTATTGAAGAAATAAAATATATTTTATAAATTTGTGTAGCCTAAGTACACACATTTATAAAGTCTGCTATAGTGCACAGTACTGCCCTAGGCCTTCAGGTTCACTTACCACTCACTCACCGACTCACTGACTCACCCAGGGCGACTTCCAGTCCCACAAGGCTCCATCCCTGGTGAGTGCCCTATACAGGGGTACCTTTTCACAATTTTTTTTTTTTGAGACAGTCTCGCTCTGTCGCCCAGGCTAGAGTGCAATGGCACCATCTCAGCTCACTGAAACCTCTACCTCCTGGGTTCAAGTGATTCTCCTGCCTCAGCCTCCTGAATAGCTGGGATTACAGGCACTCACCAACATGTCTGGCTAATTTTTGCATTTTTAGTAGAGATGGGGTTTTGCCATGTTGGCCAGGCTGGTCTTGAACTCCTGACCTTAGGTGATCCACCCGCCTTGGCCTCCCAAAGTGCTGGGATTACAGGCATGAGCCACCATGCCCAGCCGGAATTCTTAATTTCTGAAAAACTGAGTTCCTTCCAGTTTATATATTAGGCACAGGAATCCTGATCCAAAGGAAATACACTGCAGCACCAATTGGCTGACTTTGGATAAGTAATGGGGTACATTTTACTTGAGTAAAGGATGGGATTGAGTTAGAGGGCCTCCCCTCAGTAAAGTCCCTCTTGGTTAAAAATAGATTAAAGATGACAGGGTCCAACTGAGGGCAAGCCTTGCCAGTTCAATATTGGGTGCTAAACAGCGTGGCCAATGTCTATGTTTTGTCACTCATATTTTCCTCTGGCCAGAATGAAAAATGTTAATTGGGTTACCCCATGCAACCCCTTGAGCAGCAACTTGCAAAACTGAGAGGCTTTTGCCTGATTCCATAAAACAAAAAAAGATGATTTTCCTTTATGATGTGGCTTGGCCCCCAGGGCTATAGTGTGGCAAGCAGGGTCACTAGGGTTGCTCAGGGAAAGGGAACCCAGGAGCCTGGCATGCCCGCAAAAGGGTAAGAATTTATTACCAGTCGGACTCTGACCTTTCTCTCTCTGTGAAAACTGGTTAAATAAATGGTAAAAATCACTGTTTATCTCCTCTCTAAAGTTTTGATTAACACAAAAAAGAATTCTGAGGCTGGTCTTAAGCTGTAGTGAACCTGGTGTGCTTTATGTGTCTTTCTGTATTGTTCTGTCGTGAAAGGGAGTACCTTAGGATAAAGCATGTGTCTAGGACACCATAAACCCACTGTTCAAGATGGCCC
Organism: Homo sapiens; assembly: GCF_000001405.40. Taxonomy (NCBI): domain Eukaryota; kingdom Metazoa; phylum Chordata; class Mammalia; order Primates; family Hominidae; genus Homo; species Homo sapiens. Next base: position 128,015,007 of record NC_000003.12, read on the forward strand.
AGAAAACTGGTCAGTCATGTCCTTGGGAGCCTGACCTTATAACCATGTGGCCATGCTTTCCCTTTTCATAATGGAGGCCCAGGTTCAGGGTTCAATTCCCTTAGGAAATGAGTACTTTCTGGTTTGATATCTGTGTAATCCTTACCATTTGTTGATTCTCTTCCCCTCCATGAACCATCTTAAATTTTCCTTTCTCTGAGCACAGAAATACTGTGCATTTGGCCTAGGCAAGGCTGCATAATAAAAGATTTAAAAGGAATTTTAAAAAGAGCACTATAGTTAAAAGTCAGCTTAATTAAAACTGGATATTAAAGCTCTAACAGCCTGGGACTCCTTGGGAAAAACAGGAGGCTCCAGAGACCTGTTTTGGAAAAAAATCCCTTTTCCTCATGGAACCTCAGGAATTGGAAATGGATAGATCCTCCTCAAAATCTAAGGCTCTGTTCTTTTTAGGATCCAGGATCTGGTGTAAAAATGGGATCTGTTTTTCCCTTCCAACTGTGCCTGCTTATTAGGCTCTAGAAATTGCAGGCTTTCCTGGCCCTGTTCTTCCACCCTAGGACTCCACTCTAAAGCCAGTAATCCAACTTAAAAAACTTAAAACTTGGCTGGGCACAGTGGGTTATGCCTGTAAACCCAGCACTTTGGGAGGCTGAGGCAGGTGGATCACGAGGTCAGGAGTTTGACACCAGCCTGGCTAACATGGTGGAACCCCGTCTCTACTAAAAATCCAAAAAATTAGCCTGGTGTGGTGGTACACACCTGTAATCCCAGCTACTTAGGAGGCTGAGGCAGGAGAATCGCTTGAACCCAGGAGGCAGAGGTTGCAGTGAGCCAAGATCACGCCACTGCACTCCAGCCTCGGTGACAGAGTGAGACTCTGTCTCAAGACAAAAAACACACACACGCATACACACAACTTAAAAATTGGCAAATGAAAAATCTTACAACTACTTCTGTCTGTCTGTGCAGTTATATATGTGTTGTGTGTGTGATGTTTATATAAAAGAGCTCTAATTAATTGGCTTTAAGAAAACTAAGCACTTAAATCAAATATTTTGGCAGAAAAGTAAAAACTGTAATGTCTTAGTTCACATAACTTTAGTAATCTTGGGGAAATAAAAACAGCTTTAAAGACTATTGGTAAAATAAAGACATTTGGTCTAAATTAGGCAGGTTAGATATTTGATTTGCTAAATGCTTTAAGGTCATAAACTGCTTCTTAGGCTTTTGAAAATTATTCAATTTACCTACTTTGGAGCATTAGATTCTAAATAAGGGCCAGGCACATGGCTCATACCTGTAATCCCAGCACTTTGGGAAGCCAAAGCAGGTGGATCACTTGAGGCCAGGAGTTCGAAAGCAGCCTGGCCAACATGGAGAAACCATGTCTCTATGAAAAATACAAAAATTAGCTGGGTGTGGTGGCATGTATCTGTAATTCCAGCTACTCAGGGGGCTGAAGCAGAAAAATCACTTGAACCTGGGAGGCAGAAGTTGCAGTGAGCCAAGATCAGACCACTGCACTCTAGCCTGGGTGACAGAGTGAGTGAGACTTTGTCTCCAAAAAAAAAAAAAAAAAAAAAAATCCAAATAAGGCCTGGGGACAACCAGTAAAATAACTTGTTGTTTAAAAAGAGGGATGTTTAGGACAAGTCAGAAAGTCCATGCATGTTGTAGATGGCTTGTGTACATTGTGAAAGGATTTGTGAAAGAAAATTTATGCACCAAAAGTAAAAGTTGCTAAGAGTTACCATTGTAACACGTGATTGAGACTACTGAAGAAATAGTTTTACATGCAAGGTGTGTGAGGAGAATGAAATGTGTTTTTGGTAAAAGATTCTAAGAAAGCATGGGAATGTAAATTTTTGCATAGTTTAGAGAGCTAAAGGATTGTTTTAGATAAGAATAAGCTAAAGGTTTGAACAAGTTGTGGAAGTTTTGTAAAAATTAATGTTGTTAAAAAAAATTCTGTATGTGAACATATTGACTAAATTTAAAGGAGTATTTTCCAATTTTTCCATAAATTGAACATCAAAATAAAGGCACAAACAGGGTTTCCTTAAATCACTGATCTGTTCTTTTTTTTTTTTTTTTTTTTTTTTTTTTTTGAGACAGAGTTTTACTCTTGTTGCCCAGGCTGGAGTGCAATGCTGAGATCTGGGCTCACCGTAACCTCTGCCTCCTGGGTTCAAGCAATTCTCCTGCCTTAGCCTCCCAAGTAGCTGGGATTATAGGCATGTGCCACCACACCTGGCTAATTTTTTATTTTTAGTAGAGATGGGGTTTCTCCATGTTGGTCAGGCTGGTCTCAAACTCCCAACTTCAGGTGATTTGCCCGCCTTGGCCTCCCAAAGTGCTGGGATTATAGGCATGAGCCACAGTGCCCTGCCTGATCTGCTCTTTAACAAAACTTTGTAAAGGGTTACAAAAGGTTTATGATAATCTCATCTTATGGTCAAACTGATTAAGATTGGAAAGATTTGTCTGTAAGGTTTTATTAAAAATTGGGGTTAACATTAATAGTAAACTAATGCAAGAGTGAAGTTTAGCTTTCTCTCTTGAACAAGATTTTCATGCATATTAACAGATAATGAAGCTTTTCATTTGCCTTTTGAATAAACTACTGAACAAAAGAAGGGAAAGAAAAGAGACAGATTGTTTGGAAAGCTAAGTCTTCCCTCTATCAATGAGTAAAGGTTTTGCCTTTAAAAAAATATTCGAGTCATCATTGTGGCTAAATGAATGACTTATGGAAACCTGGAATTCTATTTCATAATATCAAGTGTTTTAAACCTTTAACATATTTGATAGCCTTCCCGAAATCAAATTTCAGCTTCAAAATGGTCTTTTCTGACCTCTAGCTTTAAGATGCTACAGAGGACCCCTGAAGAATCCAAAAGAGAGGTAAACAAGATTATCTGACATGTTTCATTACATGGGAAACATTGTCAAAAATTTTAAAAAAAATTTAATCTACTTCAGTTTATATTTTAGTGAATATTAATATATGTTCCAAAATTATATGGGATTTCTAAAATTCTAATATGTTTGAGTATATGTTATCAATAATAATTATGGTTATGTTATTATAAACCACAGAAATATCCAAATTTCCTTGTCAATTGTGTTTTTGACTATAACAATTTGGCCGGGCAGGGTGGCTCATGCCTGTAATCCCAGCATTTTGGGAGACCAAGGCAGGCAGATCACCTAAAGTCAGGAGTTCAAGACCAGCCTGGCCAACATGGTGAAACTCTGTCTCTACTAAAAATACAAAAATTAGCTGATGGTGGTGTCACGCACCTGTAATCTCAGCTACTCAGGAGGCTGAGCCAGGAGAATCGCTTGAACCTGGGCGGCAGAGGTTGCAGTGAGCCCAGATTACGCCACTGTACTCCAGCCTAGGCAACAGAGTGAGACTCTGTCTCAAAAAAAAAAAAAAAAAAAAAAACTATTACTATTTAAATTCATTTCCGCAGTTAATTACTAAATGTTAATGCTGATGCAGTTTCTGAAAACTTCACAAGCCTACAAAATCCTGGAATATGGTGTCTTTTAGGAGATCCATGAAAGGATAAAAAGGACCCTAAAAAACACTCTGGAATACAGATTTCTAATAAATTTAGAATCATATCATTTTAACTGGGTAAGAATTCCTGGAACTTTAATGAGAAGACTGACTGAGTTACAAAACTGCTAGCCCAAGTAGAACAAAGATTAATTAAATACCAAGAAAATACTTTGCCAGATTTTCATGCTAAATCAGCTAATACTGAAATTGTTTAGATATACAATTTGAATGAACTCCATGGTCTAAGTCAAATTACCTATGATAACCCATTGGTTATCAGTGCTATGCACCTAATTTGGAAAAACAACTGGTATTCAAGAGGATATAAGTCTAATGTTAATTAAGCATGGACTCATGGATAACCAGGACGGCTGCCTTGTCCTTCCTGAGTCCTTAAAGCTTTTGTTATTAAAAGTTCTGCATTCCATGACTCACCATGGAAAAGATAAAATGATCCAAGTTGAATATATTGGTGTGGTGACTTATAAATGGCTAAGATGGTTTATAACCAATGTTTGGTCTCATATTCCTGAGATAACAATCAAAGCTTCAGGTATGTTTGGTCACCTGATGGACCATTTAAACAGTCTATAAAGGGATTTCATTCCATTGTTTTTTGTTTTGTTTTGTTTTGTTTGTTTGTTTATTTGAGATGGAGTCTCACTCTGTCACTCAGGCTGGAGTTCAGTGGCACGATCTCATCTCACTGCAACCTCTGCCTCCTGGGTTCAAGCGATTCTCCTGCCTCAGCCTCCTGAGTAGCTGGGATTATATGCTCCTGCCACCATGCCTGGCTAATTTTTGTATTTTTAGTAGAGACAAGGTTTCACCATGTTGACCAGGCTGGTCTCAAACTCCTGACCTCAGGTGATCCAACCGCCTTGGCTTCCCAAAGTGCTGGGATCACAGGCGTGAGCCACTGTGCCCAGCCATCCATGGTTATTTTCAATGCATGTTTTCTGGTTGTATAAAAGCTCTCCCATGAAGAAGGCTGATGTTATAACACTAAGTTATTATGCTACAGTGTATTTTCACCAAAGAAAGCTTTTTATGGTTTGCTGAGGACAATCAAACCCTTCACAGTCTAGAACCTGAAGACTGGATCTTCTGAGAACATCAGAGAAAGACTGTCCTTGCCATCCACAAAAAACTTTGGAATCTTGAACTTTGGGTTCCTAATCTCACAATTGAGAAGGCTCCCTCCATACTCTGTATACCCATTGGAACTCTTAAGGTAAAACTAGCCAGGAAAGTCTCTCCCCAGAAGAAGATGGCATCCTTGATGTGAACAGCTTTTCCTAAGATCAGGGATCAAGACTTCTAGTATCATGAGACTCTTATCTTTAAATATTTTTTCTTGTTTATGCTTCTATGAACAATAGAAATGAAAAGGGGGTCTGTTGTGTGCACTTATTAGGTATACCTTTATTTGTGAAGGATTTTACAGCCAGTCTTATACAGGGATAACCTTATACTTTCACAGGTAAAAGATGAAGGTCCAATGTAGATGAGAAACTTTAATGGTACATATGTTGCTTCAGAATCAGTCAGAAACAGAACACTGATTCACTCCTCTTAACCCACATCATGGGCTAAAGAGAACATTGCTAGGAGGCCTTCACTCTTCTATGATAGAAGGAGACTATATGTTATGTCCTTTTTCCATGGTTTGGAATAAAAGAGGCAATGATTAGAAATGTATCCCTCATAATAGGTTCTATAGCAGATTCTACTGTAAAGGCTATGGTTACACAACAGACTTTAAATTCTCTTGTGAAAGTTATGCTAGAAGGCCGGGTGCGGTGGTTCATGCCTGTAATCCCAGCACTTTGGGAGGCAGAGGCAGGTAGATCACAAGGTCAGGAGTTCGAGACCAGCCTAACCAACATGGTAAAACCCCCATCTCTACTGAAAATACAAAAAATTATCCGGGCGTGGTGGCACACACCTGTAGTCCCAGCTACTGCAGAGGCTGAGGCAGGAGAATCGCTTGAACCCAGGAGGCGGAGGTTGCAATGAGCCTCCGAGATCGTGCCACTGCACTCCAGCCTGGGCGACAGGGCCAGACTCTGTCTCAAAAAAAAAAAAAGTAAGTTGTGCTAGGTAATAGAATTGGCTAAACAGAAAAGTATCTGTGCAGCTGCTGGCACTTACGGCCTATGGAAAAAACATCCAGTATTATAGAGATTCAGTTGTAGGGAATTAATGAAGAGACTGCCTATTTAAGTGAGTGGACTCTTTAACTCATTCTTTGATCTATTTGATTTTAGGTAGTTTGGTTTGTGGGGACCCTGGGTAAGGCGCATACTCCGAACTCTTGGTATTATTTTCCCAATAGTCATAATGATAGTCTCCCTGATGCGCTATATTCTCTCGAAGGTTTTAAATGTTTGCACGCATTCATCTTTGGAATGTCAAATGGTCTCTTTTCAACTGGAATGTCAAGAGCTGAAAGAAATGTGCAACCATGAAAACACTGTAACCTATGAATGATGTGCTGAGACCAGAAACTCAAAATGATGGTAATTGAGAGTGGTGCTAAGGCCTTAAGTTTTCATACTCTCACCTAAGTGAGAATCTGGACAAAACAAGGGAATTTTTAAAAACAAAACTATGGGAGACCACTGTTTTATACTAAGCTGATGCAGTAGGCCATAACAGACCAAACCAAACAAAAATGGCACTGCTCATGCAAAATGTAACATAATCAAACTAAGACTTTAAGGAAACACATAGATCCTAGAACAGACCCAGGTTTTGTTTTTCTCCTGTCAACAGGACATTCCAGCATAAGGGGGTACCCACTACTCAGTCTTTGTTCCCACCTTCCATAACCCACTGTTCTACTGTTTCCCAGTGGGTTTCAAAACCAAATAAGTACGTTTACAATGGTGATAGTAACATCAATAATTAAAGTTATGGTCAATCTCTCAAAATTGAGAAAATGAACCAAAGTGGTGAAACTGTTAAAGCGAATTAAATATGGCCTAAGAAGGACTCCGTACTTGTCTATAAATTTGTTCTGACCACGAGGCACCCCTGTAGTCTCTCTGAGCCTGCTGTGATTCTGGGGGCTGCCCGATTGCCATTCATTGCTCAATTAAACTTTAAATTTAATTCAGCTGAAGTTTTTCTTTTGGCAGGGATATGACACGTGACTGTATCATCTTACAGAAAAGACTTCATTCTGGATCCCTTTGTAGCGCCTGCTGGAGGATTTTCTCTACATCATTAATAATCACAGCAGTGAACGCGACCAGCCCAGCTGCAAGCACTGTGCCCCTTACTCCCTATACATGAGGTCATTTTGCACTTGGAATGGCCCAGCACAGCCTGCCCTGCCCTGCCCTGCCCTGCAAGGAGGTTGAGGCTATTATGATCATTCCCATCTTAGAGACAGGAAACCAGATGCCTGCCCCAGGTCACTGGAGTGGAAGTACACTGGGGTGGGGCTCACACACAGATGTGCCTCGAGGCCAAGCCCTCCTCTGTCCTAAAAACCTAGGAGTCCAAGTGAGTGGACGGCCTGGCAGCAGCCCCGGCTGGCTTCTGGTGAGTTTGCAGACCTCCACCCCAGGCTGTCTGCTCAGAGCCACTCCCAACCAGGCCACACTGTCCGGTGTTTCGACTTGCCTGGCTCCCCCATGCCAGGTGCCAGCCTCAGTCCAGCTCTGCAGGCAGCAGCTGTAGGTGAGATGGGAGCCAGCCACCTGCAGGACGTGGGACTCAGGGGAGTTAGAACTCCAAGCCTAGAACTCGAATGACATCAGGAGCTCTCAGGGAGACAGGTCATGCTGCCAGGATTGCTCTTTGGTTCCTTTAAAACTAGGAAGGAACCAGGCACAGTGGCCCATGCCTATAATCCCAGCATTTTGGGAGCCTGAAGTGGGAGGATCGCTTGAGCCCAGGAGTTCGAGACCAGCCTGTGCAACACAGTGAGACCATGTCTCAAAAACAAACAAATTAGGAACGATGAAGAGTAACACCGTGAGCAGGAAAACCCAACTGCCATCTGGAATGCAGACTTGGACCTAGTGTGGGGATCCAGCCCCAGCCCTGGCCCTCAGGCAGGTAAGGAATTATTGTCCCCATTGGCCCCCGAGAGAGCCACACCCCAAAGACTGTCAAGGCAGGCTAGGGGCCCAGTCGCAGGGAGCAAGGCCAGCTCACTCATTGCCCCACCTCTCCCGTCACCATGGGGGCTGACTCTGCCCAGCAATGCTCCCACGGCCCCTTTCCCAGTGCTTTTCAACTCCAGAATTTCCACTTGGTTATTTTTATCATTTCTACCTCTTTATTTATATTCTCTATTTGATGCAACATCATAATACCTTCCTTTGCTTCATGGTGTCCTTTAGTTCTTTGACCATATTTACAATGGCTGCTTTGAAATCTTTGCAAGTTAAATCTGACACTGGGGCCAGGTGCTCATGCCTGTAATCCCAGCACTTTGGGAGGCAAAGGGGGGGGGAACACGAGGTCAAGAGATTAAGGCCATCCTGACCAACGTGGTGAAACCCGTCTCTATTAAAAATATAAAAATTAGCTGGGCGTGGTGGCATGCACCTGCAGTCCCAGCTACTTGGGAGGCTGAGCCAGGAGAATCACTTGAACCCAGGAGGCGGAGGTTCCAGTGAGCCCAGATCGTGCCATTGCACTCCAGCCTGGCAACAGAGCAAGGTTCCGACTCAAAAAAAAAAAAAAAGAAATCTGACACTGGGCCTCTCACAGGCAGTTTCCATTGTCTGCTTTGTTTTTCCTGTGTATAGGTCACACTTTCCTATTTCTTTCCATTTCTAACAGTTGTTTTTGAAAAGTGGACACTTTAGATAATACACCAATTCTGCATACTGATTTCCCAGCCTGTCTTCAGGGGCTTTGTTTGCCTGCTTGTTTAAATAGAGATGGGGTCTCACTATGTTGCCCAGTCTGAACTCCTACGTTTAAGCAGTCCTCCCACCCTGGCCTCCCAAAATGCTGGGATTTCAGACACAAGCCACTGCACCTGCCCATGAGTTTTGTTGTTTACTTATTTCTTTAGTGGCTTGGCTTGTTTTAGTAAAGTCTGTTTTCCCTACAATGTGGAGCCTCTGATGTTGCTCCTCAGAAATTGCAGCCTCTGGCTTGCCCAGTCACCCTGGGATGACAATAGATTCAGCAGCTCTTTCTTTAACTGTCTTCTTTTCCAGATCTCTCTGTTGAGCTGTCTGCCTCTGTTGGTATCACACCTAGCACCTAAATGTTAGCCTCCACTAACCACTAGCTGATCACTCTGCTGTTTTCCACAATGGTCTGGTGCCTAAATTGCTCCACAGTCTAATTCAATTAAGTCTGGATCACTTTCTGGAAGCCAGCCTTTGAGTTTTCTTCTGACCCCAGGAGAGATCTTCCTGTCTGTCTCTGTCCCTGGTTCTCTTTGGAAAACTAGCTGGTCTATGGTTTATCTTACTTCTCTCAAAGAGCTACCAGTCTCCTCTTAAATGCTTACCATCAACATCTGTATTGTTTTTGAGAGTGCCCTTAGGTTTGAACTTCCCCACATCTTGTGGCAAGTAAAGCTAGTTCCTTTGGGGAGAATTTATAAGCCTTCCAAACTTATGGTCTGCCTCTCTCCCTGGGCAAATCCTCTGAGCCATCACTCAAAAACCAGGGCAGGAGCAGTGATCCACCTCTCTCAGAGTGACATCCAGCTTTAAGGACAGAATGCTGTATAGGGGCCAAGGCCTCTGGTCTTCTCTGCTTGTTTCTCCTGGTGTAGAATCTCCATCCTATGAACAAGCTGGGGCAATGATGATAGAGACCCCAGTGTTTTCAGTGTGCCATGCCTGAGGTAGAACCTCTGCTCTATGGATGGGATCTGGGTGGACGATGGGAGTCCCTAACCTCTCAACCACATTGCCTAGAAATTAGTCTCTGCAGCATGTAGCTAGATGGAGGAGGAGAGGGTCGGGAATAGATGAAAGTTAACAGTACAGGCCTGCTGTAGACCAAATCTTGCCCATGCCTTTCTTTCTAAATAGAGTTTTATTGAAACACATCCATGCCCACTCATTTACTATAATCTATGGCTGCTTTTCTACTAAAATGGCAGAGTTCAGTAGCTACAACACATACCCCATGGTCTGGAAACCCTAAAATATTTACTATCTAGTCCTTATAAAAAGTTTTCTAGAAGGCAGGATAGTAGGCATCCTTGGAGAGGTGGGTAGTAACTGGAACTACCATCTGAGGCACCTAGTCATGTTCTTCCTCTTGATCCCCATGCTACTTGCATGGTTGTGTTCACTTTGTAAACTTCAATGAGCTCACACTCATGATTTGCACACTTTTCTATATGTCTTTTAGCAGAAGTTTGCCCCTAAAATTCTCTCTTCTCCTTCAAGACACCCCCCTGACATGATAATTTAAGAATAAAAAGGTAAAAACCCACAAAGCCAAAGAGAAGGAAAGAGAATAACGGGTGTGAGATGTCATAGGAACTTCAGAATTTGGACAACAGACAAACATGAAGTGATTTAGTTTTCCTCTATTTGGCAACTGCTTGCAAAAGTGGGGCTCAGGGAGGGGAAAGCTCAGGAACTAAAGATGTCAAACACCTGTGAAGGCAGGGGTATATGGGGATAGGTTAAAATCAGAAGGAGTCGGTCTGTAAGATCTTGTCTGAGCGAAATGTCTTTGTTCTACTTTCAGCCTTGTGTGAGAGTTTGGCTGCTGTATAGAAATCTGGGTTGGAAATCAAAGTCACTATGGTAGTTAAACATAGATGCCTCTCCCAGCTCTCCCAGCTAGGTGACTGTCCCTCCCTCACAGGAAAAGGGAGGTTTCCATCTGGATAGGGTTACCAGATTTAGCCAGTAAAAAAAAAAAACAAAACAGGATGCCCAGCAGGGCGCAGTGGCTCATGCCTGTAATCCCAGCACTTTGGGAGGCCAAGGCAGGTGGATCATGAGGTCAGGAGTTTGAGACCAGCCTGGCCAACATGGTGAAACCCCGTCTCCACTAAAAATACAAAAAAATTAGCCAGGCATGGTGGCACACGCCTGTAATCCCAGTTACTTGGGAGGCTGAGGCAGAAAAATCGCTTGAACCAGGAGGTGGAGGTTGGAGTGAGCCAAGATTGCGCCATTGCCCTCCAGCCTGGGCGACAGAGCAAGACTCTGTCTCGAGAAAAACAAAAAACAAAAAACAAAAAAAAAAAAAAACAGGATGCCCAACTAAATCTGAATTTCAGATAAACAACAATTTCTTTTTTTAGTAAAAGTATATCCCAAATGTTGCAATGGGACATACTTATTCTAAAACTTTCTTTGTTGCTTATCTGAAATTCAAATTCAACCGGGGGTCTTTTGTTTTATCAGTAGGCAACCCTACATCTGGAGAAATGAACCAGGAGATGCTGTACGGGGCACTCAGGCCCAGCTGAAGGCAGGGCAGTGTTTGGGAGAGGGTGTGAGTGAAAGTGGAAACTCCAAGACTCCCCACTCAACTCCCAGACCACGGTAGCCAGGCCTGCACACCGCCCTCTACAGCTTCACTAAAGATTCCAGAGAGGAAAAGAGAAGACACACACACAAAGAACTGGCGATCAGAATGTCTTCAGACATCTCAACAGCACCAGCAAAGCTGTATGATGATGGGTGCTGACCTTAAAATTCTGAAGAAGAATGATTTCCAACCTAGATTTTATATGCAACCAAACTCTCACACAAGGCTGGAAGTAGAATAAAGACAATTCTGTCAACGAGATCTTAGGAAATTCTCTTCCCATGCACCATGCTTTAGGGTGCTATAGGGGAAGTGCTCCACCAAAACAGGGAATCCACCGAGAAAAAAGAAGACATGATGTCCAAGAAACAAGATTCAACACACAGGAAGAAAGAACATCCCTGGTGAAGAGAAGTCCCAGAACAGCATGTGGGCTGCGGGCATAGAGGGCACCAGTCCAGACAGGAGCCAAAGAAGCAAGAGAGGATCCAAAAATCAAATACACAAGAACAGACACACTTAGAGACAGCCTGATTGTTTTCACTATGTTGGGAGGTACTGTAGAGTTTTGTCAGAGAACATGGGAATAACTTAGTGACTGGTACTTACAAAGCCAAACAAATTAAAAAGTGAGTTATTAACTATAGGAGAAAAAAAGTTTAAAGAAGGAAATGTCAGTATAATATGCTATTTTGCTTCACTATGGGTAATCTGTACATAATCATAGTAACGTAAGCACTAAACACTGAATCAGCTGAGATTTGTGAGATATCTCTATTGGGATCATGGTAGGGTTGGGGGGACTGTGGGAAGGTGTTAGAAAACCAAGCTACTCTTCAATGGTAGGAAATCAGTAGATAATGTCTAAAGTTAGAAATCAATCAGTAGTAGTATATGCAGTGGTTACTTGGAGGTAAATACCAGAAGAAAAAATATAAGTGAGTTGATAATGACTGCATATGAGCATTGAAGGTGTGAAGTAAAAAGTTAGAGCACAGGATTGCTGCTTTTCATTTTAGGACACATTGATTTTTCAAGCCTTGTAAATGTATGAATTGCATAAAATTAAACTAAAATATAAAATCACTGACTTTATAGCATAATCCAAAACTAACTCAAGATTTTTCATAGACCTAAATGTGAGAGCTAAAACTAAACAAGTTCTAGAATATAAGATTGAAGAAAAGTCTTTGACACCTTGCTTAATGCAAACAAGGTGCAATTATAATGCAAGTTATAATGCAATCTTATAACAAAGATTTCTTAGATATGACACCAAAAGCACAATTCACATAAGAAAAAAATTGGACAAATTGGACATCAAAAGTTAAAACTTGTGCTCTTCAAAAGGCATTGTTTAGAAAATGAAAGAAAAGCCCAAGACTGAGAGAAATAATGATATATCATATATCTGATAAAGAATCTGTAACCAGAATATATAAAGAACTCTTAAAGCTCAATAATAAGACAACAAGCAGCTGGGCACTCACACCTGCAATTCCAGCACTTTGAGAGGCCAAGGCAGGAAGACTGCTTGAGGCCAGGAGTTTGAGACCAGCCTGGGCAACATAGGGAGATGCTGTCTCTACAAAAAGTAAAAAATAAAATTAGCTACACACAGCGGCCTGTGCCAGTAGTTCCAGCTACTCAGGAGGCTGAGGTGGGAGGATCACTTGAGCCCAGGAGTTGGAGGCTGCAGTTCTGGAGATGGATGGTGGTGATGGCTGCACAACAATGTGAATGCACTTAATGCCACAGAACTGTAGACCTGTTTTCTCTTTTGAGGCGGAGTCTCACTCTGTCACCCAGGCTGGAGTGCAGTGGCACAATCTCGGTTCACTGTAGCCTCCACCTCCTGGGTTCAAGCGATTCTCCTGCCTCAGCCTCTCGAGTAGCTGGGATTACAGGCGCCCACCACCACACTTGGCTAATTTTTGTACTTTTAGTAGAGATGGGGTTTCACCATGTTGGCCAGGCTGGTCTTGAACTCCTGACCTCAAAGTGATCTGCCCGCCTCAGCTTCCCAAAGTACTGGGATTATAGGCGTGAGCCACCGCACCCAGCCCCAATAGCCTATTTTTATGTTATGGGTATTTTACCACCAAAAAAAAGAAGAAAGTGAAAAACTAGAGAGGGGGCAGGGAGAGAGAGATTGAGAGAGAGACTCTGGAGGGAGGAAAAAACCAACAAAACAAAATGAGGCTTCTGGGCGTCATCCTAAACCTACTGAGTCAGGACTTTCTCCTCCTTTCCGTGCTGCCCTCACCAAGGCCCTTTTCCTGAAAACATACTAAAAAGCTGCTTGCCTGGAAATGCCCCAGGTGCTGGGGTGGTAGAAAAGAAGTGTAACAAAGCAGTGGCTATCGCCCTCCAGGTGCTTACGACCTGGCCAGGGAGATTCACAAACAAGGCAAGACACAGGAAGTAATGCAAGACAATACGCAGTTATGGACTTACACACGAGACCTGACCTCGCCATGGGAAAAAGTGCTACAGCTTCACAGAAGAGCCATGGGGAAGTCAGACCAGAGTCAGGCCTTGACCCAAAAGGATCTTCCCTGTTTGCGTCCGGGATGCCCCAGTCTCTGCATTAACATTTATTACAGACACCCAAAAAGGAGTTTAAATCTAATGTTGAAGAGAGCAAAGGTTAAATAAATAAATAAATAAGTGAATGGATGAATGAAGAGACAAGTATGGCAAAAATCAGACAAAAGCTGTAAAAGAAACCCAATGCCAGGAATTCAGAGTAGGGAAAGCGATCCCAGTGGTCAGGGATCAGGAAGGGCTCCATGGAGGAGGTGGCTTGTGAGCTAAGAATTGAAGGATTTCCATGTGTGGAAACAAGAAATTATCCCAGACAAAAGGAGCACCAGAAGCAAAGGATCAGAGGTCTATTCAGGGATTGTGGGGCAACCACAGAACCATACACACTGCAATCTTCTGGACCTCCTCTCTTAGACTGCATGGCTCTCTACGCTCAACTAGCAATCATCCTGCAAAATCCAGCTCACCCTTCCCTCTTCTCCAAGGTCTTCCTAATCCTCCTCTCCACCCTCTCCACAGTTCCCCTCCCCGCTTTCCCAAAGCACTTTGTTCCCATGACTGTTATAGCTTACCAGAGACTGCTGGTTGTCCCCAGATATCCAGTTTCTCCTAGTTCCAGAACCTGCCATTTTTTGACAGGCACATGGCTGCCTAGGATAAAGATTACATTTCTCAACCTCCCTTATGGCCAAGTGCACTAAGTTCTGGCAAAAGAGATGTGCGTGGGTGATATCCAGAGCACAAGGAACCACTGTGCCAGTCATCTCCTTTTCTTCCCTTCACTGGTGTGATGGTGAGCTGTTTTGGGCCACAAGAAGATAACACCTTAGGGGTGCCTTAGGGACACCTTAGGGCAACCTTAGGGATGGTGGTGCGACATTAGAAGGAGCTGCCTCATAATCATGGAGCTGCCATACCAACCCAAGATTTCTCATATCCAGACTGATGCCCAAGAAAGAAACTTCTATCTTGTCCAAGATACTATGATTTTGTTTTGTTTTTGACAAATCTTAATTGTATATATTTATAGGGTACAATGTGGTGTTTTGATATATGTACCCATTGTGGAATGGTTAAATCAAACTAATTAATATATTCATCACCTCACTTATTTTTTGTGGTGAGTATACATTAAAATTTACTTTCAGCAATTTTGAAATATACATTATTATTAACTATAGTCACCAACCTGTGCAATTTATCTCAAAAATTTATTCTTCCTGTCTAACTAAAACTTTGTACCCTTTGACCACATCTCCCCATTCCTTCCCCAGCCTCTGGCAACCAACCTTCTACTCTCTGCTTCTGTGAGTTTGACTTTTTTAGATTCCACATATACGTATCTTGGCTACTGTGAACTTACTTTTTTTATTTTTAAGACGGAGTCTTGCTCTGTCGCTCAGGCTGGAGCACAGTGGCATGATGTCAGGTCACTGCAACCTCTGCCTCCTGGGTTCAAGCGATCCTCCTGCCTCAGCCTCCCAAGTAGCTGGGATTACAGGCATGCACCACCACACCTGGCTACTTTTTGTATTTTTAGTAGAAGAAGGGGTTTTGCCATGTTAGCTAGGCTGGTCTTGAACTCCTGACCTCAAGTGATCCTCCCACCTTGGCCTCTCAAACATCTGGGATTACAGGCATCAGCCACCACACCTGGCCATGGCTATTGTGAATAGTGCTATAGTGAACATGGGAGTGCAGATATATCTTTTGCACATACTGACTTCATTTCCTTTGTATCTATACCCAGCAGTAGGACTGGTAGGTCATAGGGAGTTCTATTTTTAGTTTTTTGAGGAACTGCCATATTGTTTTTTGGGGTTTTTTTTTTTTTCTTTTTTTGAGATGGAGTTTCACTCCTGTTGCCCAGGCTTGAGTGCAATGGTGCGATCTCGGCTCACTGCAACCCCGCCTCCTGGGTTCAAGCAATTCTCCTGCTTCAGCCTCCCAAGTAGCTGGAATTACATGCACCTACCACCACGCCCGGCTAATTTTTGTATTTTTAGTAAAGACGGGGTTTCACCACATTGGCCAGGCTGGTCTTGAATTCCTGACCTCAGGTGATCTGCCCACCTTGGCCTCCTAAAGTGCTGAGGTGACAGGTGTGAGCCACTGCACCCGGCCTGCCATATTGTTTCTCATAATGGTCGTACTAATTTACATTCTCACCAACAATGTACAAGAGTTCCCTTTTCTCTTGTTGTCTTTTTGATAATATCATTTGAACAGATGTGAGGTAATATACTATTGTGGTTTTATTTGCATTTCCCTGACGATTAGTGATGTTGACCATTTTTTCATATACCTGTTGGCCATTTGTATGTCTTCTTTTAAGAAATGTCTATTCAGGTCCTGTGTCTTTTTTTTCCAGACAGGGTCTCTCTCTGTCACCCAGGATGGAGTATAGTGGCACAATTATGGCTCACTGCAGCCTCAGCCTCCCAAGTAGCTGGGACTACAGGTGCATGCCACCACACCTGGCTAATCATTTTATTATTTGTCAAGACAGTCTCGCTATGTTACCTAGGCTGGTCTCCAGCTGCTGGGCTCAAGTTATCCTCCCTCCTCTGCCTCCCAAAGTGCTGAGACTACAGGTGTGAGCCACCATGCACGGCCTTCTTTGCTCATTTTTAATAGAGTTATTTGTTTTCTTGCTATTGTGTTCCTTACACATTTTGAATATTAACCCCTTATCAGATATATGGTTTGCAAATATTTTCTCCCATTCCATAGGCTGTGTTTTCACTCTGATAATTGTTTCCTTTGCTGCGCAAAAGCTTGTTAGTTTCATATAATCCCATTTGTCGATTTTTGCTTTTGTTGCCTATGCTTCTGGGATCAAATCCAAAAAAAACCATTGCCTAGACCAGCATCATGAAGAATTTCTCCTATGTTTCTTCCAGTAGTTTTATAGTTTCAGGTCTTACATTTAAGTCTTCACTCCATTTGGGTTGATTTTTATATGTGGTGTGATAGGATCCAACTACCTTTTTCTACATGTGGATGTCCAATTGTCCTTCCCCATTGTGTGCACTTGGCACTTTGTCAAAGTCAACCAACCATTTATGCATGGGTTTATTTCTGTTAAGACACTATTATTTTGAGATTTAATTACCACTGGTATATCTTAATTCCTAGACTCATCACACTACACGGTAGCGGTGTGTCCACATTTCTTTCTCCTGTGCCAAGACGGGAGCTCCTCCATGGCCCACAGCCTCAGCACAATGCCTGGCCATTAAGACTCAGAAGCAGTCTCTCATACATCCTGTTAGCCCTTCCCAGCTTCTTCTAATGGCCAGATATTTTACATATATTATTCATGTCCTTCACCAAGTAATGACTGAATTACCTATGTGCTAGGCCAGAAGCCAAGTGTGCATTTTTACAAATCTTCATAGGTACTCTGTAAAGTAAGCACTACTCTACAAGTAGGAAAGTATGACTTGCCCCCCTCCCTCTACATTATCTGCCTGGTGCAACTCAAAGCCTGGCTAAGTCTGACTCTCCTCCTGCCTCACTCTGCACCCCAGCAGTTAATGTTGCTGGGGAAACAGCAACCAGGGGACTGGTTTTACTTCAAAGTCAAGACCACAGGCTGACAGAGGCGTTTGGGAACCTGGGCACATTAATGGGTCAGGACACGCTCTCATTGTCTTAGTGGGGCTGTCTCAAGAAGATGCGGGTGGCAAACCTCAGCACAATGGTACCTGAGGGAAGGCTGCCTTTTAGGCATCTTTCAGGGCCTGCGGGATAGCATTAAATGCAAAAATACAAAATTACATTTTAATGATGTTCAGAAAAGAGGAGTAAGGCATAGCACCCCAAGATAGCCCCCAAGATGTGGGCCTACTCCAAGATGACAGAATCACAACCTCTCCTGTCCCTTCCTATTCCATCTTCACCCTCAGTTGATGGTGATCTTGCCTCTTCTTTCACAAGAAATTAGAGCAATCTGAAGAGAATTCCCTTATCTTGCTGCCACTAAATCTACAGGCATCTGCTCCCATATATTCTGCTGTCCTGTCCCAATACACAAGCTTCAAGGGCTCCTATCTAGGGTCAGCTCCTCCATTTGTAAACCAGTCCCCATTTCTTCCTGCCCATGAAATTCCTCATGTGTTAGCATAATCCTCCTCTTTCATGACGTTTTCACCCTGTAGTGGATTATTTCCATCAGCATCAACAGACATTCTGTCATTTGTCCCCTCTTTTAAGATCCCCTAGCAACTTCCTGTGCTCTCCAGCTCTTACCCCAATTCTCTGCTCCTCTCTACGCCAAATCCTTTAAAGAGCTGTCCATATAGGTCATAGCTACTTCCTCATCCCCAGTTCTCTACTGAACCCTCTCTACTCAGGCATCACCCCATCATCTTCTGAAATTGGCTTTGTCAAGGTCATTAATAAGCTTGATGTGGCCAAACTCAGTGGTCAATTTTCAGACCTCGAGTTATTTAACTCCAAAAGTAACACATGAATCAAGAGGTCAAATGTAACCCACAAATGTGTTTTGTTTGGACAACACAGTGTTGGTTTTTAGTTTGAATTCACTGCCAGCATTAGAAATCAGGATATTCACATAAAAATCTAGATGTCAAGTTTCTCTGGAAAAATCTGAAAGTCTAAGCTCACATTCCTACCTGGCAATAGACTGGCAGTGAGTCATGGCTGACTCTGGAGACAGGGCATGGGGTTTCCAGTTTGCCAGTCCCCACCACTCAGGATTGGCACATTCAGCTTGCTTCACTTACTTATGTCACTTTCCTGGCACCTAGAGGCATTTGCATTTGTAAACTCTAGAGTAAGACTTAAAACTCACAAGTTATGAGCACCTATGTTTCCTGCTTTATGAAAGAAGACAAAACAGTGGGAGAGAATACAGTTTGTGTGTATAAAGCAGCAGCGCTGAGAAGCAGTGAACCTCAGCAATGGCTGAGTTTCTGGTTCTAGGCATCCTAAGTTTCTGGTTCTAGGCATTCCAATCCATCCTGCAGTTCAGCTGTTCAGCCAAACCTTGAAGGTCATTAGTTTTCGTATATCTTTCCTCTTGCGCTGATTTTCTACTTGATCTTCTATCTTTAGACCAGTGATACAGCTTTTAATTGCTAGCTTATTTAACCCTTGTATTGGTTCACTGATTGTTCCACTGTTCATGTTAGTTATCTGGTTTTGCCCACCTGAGCTGAACTCCTGGAAGACAGATACAAGTTGACACCACGGTTCATCAAAAACAGCTTTGGTAGTACAAGTCATTCATTTATCTCTCAACATAGCAGTATAAAGATTTTCTTTTTTCTTTTTTCTTTTTTTTTTTTTTGAGACAGAGTCTTGCTCTGTCGCCCAGGCTGGAGTGCAGTGGCACGATCTCGGCTCATTACAACCTCTGCCTCCCAGGTTCAAGCAATTCTCCTACCTCAGCCTCCCGACTAGCTGGGACTACAGGCGTGCGCCACCATGCCTGGCTAATTTTTGTATTTTTAGTAGAGCCGAGGTTTCGCCAGGCTGGTCTTGAACTCCTGACTTCAGGTGATCCACCAGCCGTGGCCTCCCAAAGTGCTGGGATTAGAGGTGTGAGCCACTGCACCCAGCCAAGATTTTCTAATATGTATAATTTCTAGACCAACAGTATTTTATTTTTTTTGAGACAGAGTCTCACTCTATTGCCCAGGCTGGAGTGCAACGGTGCAATCTCAGCTCACTGCAACCTCTGCCTCCTGGGTTCAAGTGATTCTTGTGCCTCAGCCTCCCGAGTAGCTGGGATGACAGGCGCATGACACCATGCCCAGCTAATTTTTGTATTTTTAGTAGAAACGGGTTTCGCCATGTTGGCCAGGCTGGTCTTGAACTCTTGGCCTCAAGTGGTCTGCCCACCTAGGCCTTTCAAAGTGCTGGGATTACAGGCGTGAGCCACCATGCCTGGCCAACCAATAGTATTTAACTATATGTTGCAAAATACATAAAATCATATATGTGACTAGATCATAGTGAAGTGCACTGTGAGTAAGCTCTTAATAATAGTTTTCTTTGGTAGAAATCAGATTGAGCCATCATTTGGCCTTTTAAAGTGGTTTCCTGAAAGGGGAATGAAGGTGGTACAGAGGCCCAAGGGACTGTTTGCACATATAACTGTCACCCATAACAGACATCCCTGCAGGAAAAAACTATTGCAACTAGCTGTTCTAGAAGCCCAAGTCCATCCCATGATCATTATATACTTTTCTATAATGAGAACGGAATACATATAAAATACACCTTACAATTCCCTTCAAGGACTGCTACACCAAACTGAAAACTTTCCTCCCCTTTTTAGGTCTCATGGACGTCAATATGAATAAGTTTTATATAGTGGTATTATGGGCTGAATTTTGTCCCCATAATATTCATATGCTGAAGTCTTAACCCTTAGTACCTCAGAATGTGATTGTATTTTGGAGATAGGGTTTAAAGGAGTGACTAAGTTAACATGAGGCTATTAGTGTGGGTCCTAATTTAATATGACTGGTGTCCCTATAAGAAGGGGAAATTTGGACACCACAGAGAGGTACCAGGGGCGCATGTGCACAGAGGGAGGACCATGTGAAGAGGTAGCAAGAGGGCCATCTGCAAGCCAAAGACAGGCCTCAGCAGAAACCAACCCCACAGACACCTTGATCATGGATTTCGAGCCCCCAGAACTGTAAGAAAATACCCCAGCCCTAGCAAACAAATATAACCTGGGTTAAATATGAGTATACTCAAGAGCAATTCATATACAGCCACCACTTACCCCTGCATGGAACAGCCCAGGCTGCTGTTTCTGCATTTGCTTCCCGTGGCAGCTATCACTTCTTATTGCTGGTAATGCCTTCCTTTGCTAACATCCTGTCCCTTTTACTAAACTGACATTGCCTGAAAAGATAGATACCCATAAGAGTTAAAACTGTAACTTTAGTGACATCAGTGAAATTAACAGAGTAAGGACCTCTGAAAATTCTCTCCTCCATAAAGGCAACATGAAGCCTAGCAAAAATGGTCAAAATCACGTATTCAGAACTCTGAAAAGTAACCAAAGGCTCGCAGCAGTCTAGGAGCATTTATTCTGGAAAAACATTTGAGTCATGATGAAAACAGTGAGCTCTGTCCTCCTTCATCCTCTCCCTGTTTCCTAGTTCTGCAGTTACCTTGAATACCAGCAGCCTGGCAGTCTCTAGAGGAAGCAGAATAGAGTTAGAGTTCCTTCAATGCTCTATTCCAACAGAAGTCCTATTATTTGACTTGTCTGGAAGTTCTCTGGAAGATCCCACTTGCAAGGCTGTCTTATTTGACTTGAGTTGAAACTCAGAGCTCACCCAGCGCAAAAAGCCTTTGCCCGGGGGCATTTCTCAAAAACATTTAGAGGGAATTATTTAATTTCACAACTGCCTGAGGCAGTGAGTAATGTTTAGGACAATTAATAGGTTACCCGAAAGGATTTTTTTTTCAACTGGGAAATGGGCATCCATAGGGGCTTGGAAAAGCTCCAAAATATTCCTATGAATCTAGAAGGCCATTTGCACTGGCAGAGCACATATTTATGCCCATGGCTGTTCACATGGTTGGGATAACCTGAGAACACCCTAAACTCTAACATCAGGCTGACCTTGAGGATCTACACCAGCAGAAAGTGAAGGCTAAGGCAGAGCTGTCAACTGCATGCTGAGTGTTGAACACATACGCAGAGCCTCTCAGCAAACATTAAGAGACCTATTGGTTTCAAGTGTTTCAGGAAATCTGTCTAATCATTAGCTGACATTAAGCTATTCAAACAGAGACTTCAGTGGCCATATAGAACAAAGAATACAGAGTTTACAGAATTTGTGCAGGTAAGTTACTAAACAAACAAACAAATAACAAACAGCAACAAAAACATACCCTGGGGATGGGGGAAAATCTGATTTCCAAAGTTGACACACTTTTTTTTTAATGTCCAGTTTTGAGCAAAAAGTTATTAAACATGCAAAAAATAAATAAAAACCGAAAAAGTATGGCCCACACACAAGGAGAAAAAATCAACAGAATCAACAGAAATTATTCCTGAGAAAACCTAGATGCTGGATTTATTAGGAAAATATTTTTAAATCATCAATTTTAAATATGTACAAAGCATTAAACATGTTTAAAGCATTAAAGGAAAGTATGAGAACACTATCTTACCAAATAAAGAATATCAAGAAAGAGATATTTTAAAAATAGAAATTCTGGAGTTAGGCCAGGCGCAGTGGCTCACACCTGTAATCCCAGCCATTTGGGAGGCTGAGGCGGGCAAATCACCTGAGATCGGGAGTTCGAGACCAGCCTGACCAACATGGAGAAACCCTGTCTCTACTAAAAATATAAAATTAGCCAGGTGTGGTGGCACATGCCTGTGAGCCCAGCTACTCGGGAGGCTGAGGCAGGAGAATCACTTGAATCTGGGAGGCAGAGGTTGCAGTGAGATTAAAAAGGAAGAAATATTTCAAGTCAATAACTTAACCTTCTACCTTAAGAAACTAGAAAAGTGGGAGCAAACTAAACTCAAAGCAAGCAGAAGGAAAGAGATAATAAATATTGGAGTGAAAATAAAATAAAAATAGAGAAAATCAACAGAATCAAAAATTTTATTCTTTGAAAAGATTAACAAGGTTGAAAAATCTTTAGTTAGACTAATTAAGAACTAAAAAGTCTCAAACTGGTAAAACCAGTAATGAAACAGGGACATAATTACAAATTTTACAGAAATAAAAAAGATTATAAACTAATACTACGAACAACTGTATGCCAAAAAATACATAACTTATATGAAATGGAAAAATTCCTAGAAAGACACAAACTACCAAAACTAACTCAAGAAAATGGAAAATGAATGCATGTATTATAGGAGATTAATTTAGTAATTTAAAAAAATCCCACCAATGGAAATTTAGGTCCAAAGTCTTCATTGGTGAATTCAATAGAATGTTTAAAGAATTAATACCAGTACTTCAAAAACTTTTCATAAAAAAAAAAAAAAGTTAAGAAAACACTCTTGGCCAGGCGAGGTGGCTCACACCTGTAATCCCAGCACTTTGGGAGGCCGAGGCGGGTGGATCACAAGGTCAGGAGATCGAGACCATCCTGGCTAACACGGTGAAACCCCGTCTCTACTAAAAATACAAAAAAATTAGCCAGGTGTGGTGGTGGGCGCCTGTAGTCCCAGCTACTGGGGAGGCTGAGGCAGGAGAATGGCGTGAACCCGGGAGGCGGAGCTTGCAGTGAGCCGAGATGGCGCCACTGCACTCCAGCCTGGGCGACAGAGCCAGAGCGAGACTCCATCTCAAAAAAAAAAAAAGAAAGAAAGAAAACACTCTCAACACTTTATGACTTTATGAGGTCAGTGTTACCCTGATAGCCAAAGAAAAAAAGTCACTACAGGCCAATATTGCTAATGAATATAGATGCAAAGATCCTCAGCAAAAAAAAAACACATTATCATCTCAATAGAGTCAGAAAAAACAAGTTGACAAAATTCAACAGCGCTTCAAGATATAAATACTCAAAAACCTAGGACTAGAAGGGGAATTCCTTAACCTTAAAATGATATCTATGAAAAGCCTACAGCTAAAATCATACTTAATGGCAAAAGACTAAAATCTTTCCCAATAAGAACAAGAACAAACAAGGATGTTTACTCTCACCATGTCTGTTGAAGTTTGTACTGGTGGTGCTAGCTGGACAATTAGGCAAGAAAGATAAATAAAAAGAAATAAAAGATTGGGAGGCTGAGGCGGGTGATCACCTGAGGCTAGGAGTTCAAGACCAGCCTGGCCAACATAGTGAAACCCTGTCTCTACTAAAAATACAAAAATTAGCCAGGCATGATGGCACGTGCCTGTAGTCCCAGCTACTTGGGAGGCTGGGGCAGGAGAATCCCTTGAACCTGGGAGGTGGAGGTTGTGGTGAGCCAAGATTGTGCCACTGCACTCCAGCCTGAGTGACAAGACCAAGACTCCATCTCAAAAAAAAAAAAAAAAGAAAAAGAAAAGAAACAAAAAGAAATAAAAGAAATAAAACAGGCATCCAGATTGGAAAGGAAGACACAAAACTATCTCTATTTGTAGACATAATCTCATACATAGAAAATTCTAAGGAATCTACATAAAAGCAATTAGAGCTAATAAACACGTTCTGCCAGGTTGCAGGATATAAGATTAGTATACAAAAATAAATTATATTTCTATAAACCATCAATAAACAATCTGAAATTTAAATTAAGAAAACAATTCCATTATAATACCATGCAAACAGAATACTTAGGAATAAATTCAATAAAAGAAGTATAAGACTTCTTTTGGACCTTGAAAACTATAAAACATAATTGAAATAAATTAAGGAAGACCTAAATAAATATGGAAAGACATCCATGGATTAGAATACTTAACATTGTTAGGATGGCAATATTCATTAATTACCACAAAAATTCCAGCTGGCTTCTTTGCAGAAATTGAAAAGCTGAACCTAAAATTCATATGGAATTCAAGGGACCCAGAATAGCCAAAATAATCTCAGAATAGAGTTGGAAGACTCACATTTTTGAATTTCAAAACATAGTGCATAGGTACAATAATCAAGACTATGTGGTACTGACATAAAGATAGAGAGACATATAAGTCAACAGAATATAATTGAGAATCCAGAAATAAATCCATACATTTATGGTTAATTGATTTTAGACAAGGATGCCAAGACAGTTCAATGAGGGAAAGAACAGTCTTTTCAACAACTCTCGCTGGGACAGCTAGACACTGATATGCAAACAAAAATTAAAATGAATCAAAGATCTATATGTAAGAGCTAAAACTATAAACTTCTAGAGGACAACATAGGTGTAAATCTTCTTGACTTTGGCTTCGGCAATAATTACCTAGATGTAACACCTAAAGCACAAGCAACAAAAGAAAAAAAAATTGGATTTCTTCAAAATTAAAAGCTTTTATGCTTCCAAGTTTACCCTTAAGAAAGTGAAAAGATGGCCGGGCGCGGTGGCTCATGCCTGTAATCCCAGCACTTTGGGAGGCTGAGATAGGTGGCTCACGAGGTCAGAAGTTCGAGACCAGCCTGGCCAACATGGTGAAACCCCATCTCTACTAAAAATACAAAAATTAGCTGGGCGTGGTAAAAAAGAAAGTAAAAAGACAATCTTCAGAATGGGAGAAAATATTTACAAATCATATATCTGTTAAGGGACTTTATATTCAGAATATATAAAGAATTCTTACAACTCAACAATAAAAAGACAAACAGCTCAATTTAAAAATCAACAAAGTATTTGAATATTCTCCAAACAAAACATACAAATGACCAATAAACATACAAAAATATGTCTAACATCATTAGTTTTGCATCACTAGTGAAACACAAATCAAAACCTCAATGAGTTACCACTTCACATCCACTAAACTAGTTATAATAAAGAAACAGACAGTGACAAGTATTGTTGAGGATATGGAGAAACTGGGACCCTTTTACATTGCTGGTGGGAATGTAAAATGGTGCAGCTGCTTTGGAACACAGTTGGCAGTTCCTCAAAAAGTCAAACATAGATTTACCTTATGACCGAGCAATTCCACTCCTACATATATCAGAAAATTGAAAGCAAATGATTCATGCAAAAACCTGTGTGTGCATGTTCATACCAACATTATTCATAATACCTAAAAAGTGGAAGCAACTGCTGAAACGGTAAGTGCCATGTCCCATTCTACAGTCCACACAATGGCATATTTTGCAGCCACAAAAAGCAACGAAATGCTGATATATGCTACACCATGAATGAACCTTGAAAACATTATGCTAAGTGAAAAAAGACCACATATTATATGATCCCATTTGTCTGGAATGTTCAGAAAATGAAAATCCATAGAAAGAATATAGATTAGTTGTTGCCAGCAACTTGGGGTGGAAGGAGAAAGAATGGATAATGACTGCTGATGGATATGGGGTTTATCTTGGGTTGATGAAAAAGTTTTGAAATTAGATAGTGGTGATGTTTGTACAAAAGTGTGAATATACTAAAAGCCACTGAATTGTGCACTTTAAATAGGTGAATTTGATAATATTCAAATTATTTCTCAGAAAACAATCTATACATACACTCAACTGTGCCTCTATGAAGCAAATAGTTTCTGAAATAATTTTTTGAAGAGTAAAGGGCATGAGCTCTGGGCAGCCACAGCGCACCTCCTTTGACTTCCTCTAGGCTGTACTCTTGATAGCTGAGGTTGCTGTTAAGCTATCTGAGCAAGGAGTAGTGAATATCTTATGAGAATAATGTTGGTTACCACACACAGCCTAGTGACCTGGCTCAGACATAGTGACAATAAATGCTTCCCCAAATCTAAATTTCCAAGACCACAGCCAGCCACTGCAAGTTTTGGCAAAACCTATCATGAAAGCCTATCAAAGGGAAAATGGGGTTTGTGATTGATCAAATTTCTTTTAAAGTATCTGAAATTCGTAGTTTTGAAGTAAGCAACTTTATGAGGGCTCTTAGCCTTTAGAGAGATGTTCCAATGCCACAAAAACATCCTACAGTAAGAGACAGCAGACTACTAATGCTCTATGAGGCTGAGGCGATTGGAGAAAATGAGCTTGAAGTCCTTCCAGAATATTGAGCATTTATCATAGTATTACCACTATTTAATTTCATAGGAAAAAAAATCCAAGGAACAATCCCTTTGTACCTTGACAGGTCCCTAGAAGAAACTTCTGTTACCACATTCAGACAATATCTACTTAGTGAATAAACAAACCACTTGGTTCCAAAGCTTGTCCATATGACACATTTCACAATTGCTATATTTAATTCAAATTATTTGGAGTTAAAATACACTCCAGAGTGTTTATTTTTCTGTCTCTTTCCTAGAGGGTAAGAATAGTAAATGAGACAGCTGGTTGTATTCTCAGCTCTGGGGTTCTGGTAAGCATTTTATATGGCAGCAGGCAGGAGCCGGGGGTGTGTGGTTGGAGACAGTTTTTCAAAATGAAATGGTCTGTCCTCCCCCACAGCTCCCTGCCCTCTGCCACTGCAGGATTACAGTAATTCTGTATCCCAAGACTAGTTACTTTTAAAATGCCACAGCAAAGTATCCCCAAAGGTTATGGTTCCCATTTGTTCATGTCACTTAATAGCTAAAAAACCTTGGGCAAATTCCTGAACCTAGCTTACAAGGTTCCTCTGTAGAATGGGGTTAATAATAGGACCTTCTAGCCAGGCACAGTGGCTCACACCTGTAATCCCAGCACTTTGGGAGGCCCAGACGGGTGGATCACTGGAGGTCAGGTGTTTGAGACCAGCCTGGCTAGCATGATGAAACCCCGTCTCTACTAAAAATACAAAGATTAGCCAGGTGTGGTGGCATGTGCCTGTAGTCCCAGCTGCTTGGGAGGCTGAGGCAGGAGAATCGCTTGAACCCAGGTGGCGGAGGTTGCAGTGAGCTGAAATCATGCCACTGCACTCCAGCCTGGGTAACAGAGCAAGACTCCATCTAAAAAAAAAAAAAAATTACAGGACCTTCTTCACAGTGTCAGTGTGAGGACAGTCAGTGAGTGCATGTGGAGTGGGACTGCTGGCACATTCCCCAGTGTGCCATGTGCATTGCTGTCTATGTGGCTGGCCCCCTGGAGCTGTGCAGCTGCCGTGGCCACAGAAGGGTCCAACCTAACAACACACATGGTACCCAGCAGTTAAGAAGTGGTAGCTGTTATAATTATTGTTATTATAGTAGTCACTTTTTCTTGCAAGAAAGGTGGACTTCCCTGAGTGCCACAAAGAGGTTTGGGTTAATAACAGAAAGAAAATTAGCAAAATTGAGCTTTCTGGACCAGGCATTTCTCTGGGTGCTTTTATATGTGCTATTTAATTTACTCTTCATATCCCCAAAAGGATATTATTAACTCTTTTTGAGAGATTAGAAAACTGAGACCCAGAGATTTTATTTTTTTATTTTTTTGAGACGGAGTCTTGCTCTGTCGCCCAGGCTGGAGTGCAGTGGTATGATCTCAGCTCACTGCAACCTCTGCCTCCCGGGTTCAAGCGGTTCTCCTGCCTCAGCCTCCTGAGTAGCTGGGATTACAGGCGTGTGCCACCACACCTGGCTAATTTTTGTATTTTTAGTAGAGATGGGGTTTCACCATGTTGGCCAAACTGGTCTCGAACTCCTGACCTCATGATTCACCTGCCTCAGCCTCCCAAAGAGCTAGGATTACAGGCATAAGCCACCACACCTGGCCTAAGATACAGAGATTTTAAATGAGTAAAGTTATGTCACCATTAAATATTCAAGCCAGAAAGGATTGTGAGTCAGCTGGACTCCAAATCCATTACTGTTCCCACAATGGTGGGAATGTATGCTCACCCAGTGATGCAGGATTTTTCTCAGCCCCTCTGCTGGACTTGCGGAAGGGGCACCCCCTCTACTTGGCTGACCCCACTCAACCAACCCCTTGTGGGAGGGACCACATGAGTGAGCGAGTGTGGGTCCTGGCCAGATGCTCCAGGCACCAACACAGGAGCAAGCTCTATGTGAGGCCACAGCCTGACCAGGCGTGTCATCTCAAGGGGAACACGGCAGTGCCCAGGTGAGGGTGCCTGTGACCCCGAAGCCCAAGAGGGGGCATTACAGTGCTCCTTTAGTTTTGCCATCCATGGACGGGGGTGTGGTAGCTCAGTTAGCCCCTTGTCTCATTGTGTGGAGCAGCTGCCTTCCACTGGAGAGGGCAAAGGGCTGGTGTGATAGCCTTTCTGGGTACTGGCACTTGGTGGGTCCCGAGCTCTTATCTGGCATCCAAGAAGAATGAGGTCAGGTGGACAATTGAAGGATGGTGAAGGTGGAGAATTTAATTGAGCGATGGAAACAGCTCTCAGCAGAGAAGGGAGCTGGAGAGGGGAAAGGAAGGGCAGGTTGTCTTGCCCGAAGTCAGGCTATCTCATCTCTACCAACTGAGTCTTAGGTCTTTATAGGCACAGGATGGGGAGTGCAGGCTGATTGGTTTGTGAGTATGCAAAAAAAGGTTAAAGCGAAGACATCACTCAAATGTAGGCACGACAGTGTAAAAAACCAATTAGGAAAGGGTAGGTATGTGTAAAATAGGTGAAGGATGCTGATCAATCAGAGGAAAGTATGCCAAAAAGAAAGACAAGTTCTCAATCCAGTCCAAGGATTTAACTTGTAACTTGGCTTTCAGTCCTTCAACTGTCTTTGGCTTGGAGGTGAGGTTTCACTGGGTACCTGCCCCTATCTGCCTGGGCATTTGGCTGCCTCCTGTCACTATCACCAGCATGTATTCCTCCTTCTTATGGAAACAGCACATCAATTTTCCATGATAGAGCCACCCCTCCCACATTCTCAATCCGTGTGATTTGGGTAAGGCTAGTCTCAGGCCTGGCAAGTTCATTCTATTTTATACAGTCACAGAGATGGTTCAGGGGTGAACACTTACCCAGTAAAACTCAGTCTCAGGACTTTTCTAAGAACTGTGGAAAGATGAAAACTACTCTTTCTGTTGAACTTGACACTATGAAGCCTGGGACTTCTGAGGTCCCTCCAAGGAGGAAGCCTGAATATGAAAGAAAGCAAAGAGATATGGAGAAACTGAGTCTGACAACAGTTTTTGAGCCTTGCCTAAATCCATCTTTGCCTAAAGCTAGATCTACCCTTTGACTTTTCAGTTACAGGAGCCAAAAAATTCCAGTATATTTTTTCTCAAGCGTGTTCGAAGTAATTCTTTTGTCATGTACAATTGAAAGAGGAGTTACAAAATTAATGCAGGCAGTTCTTAAATCCACATAACCACCAAGCATTGTCTACAGATGATCTGTTCACTATTGTTAATCCTGTGTGGTGGGAATACAGTGTTCATCTTATTAATCTTTAAACTTTTCTGTACTTTTAACCTCATTAAGAAGATCAGAGAGGTAATGAAAACAGCACTGAAAAAAAACAGATCAGTTTCCAGCACAGAAAAGGAAAAAATACAAATTGTTCAGTCTCTCTCAGATCCAAAACCTAATACCTGGATGAGTATCTGGTGTAATTCTCACATTAACACCCTGTGCCACAGGTTTTTGTATTTGGGTTAAGCAAATAAGTAATGGTTAGTTTTGTATCGAATTGGCTAGGCTAGAGTAACCAGTTATTCAGTCAAACACTAACTTAGGTGTTGCCTTGAAGATATTTTTGTAGATGTCAATTACCTTAAAAAATATTATCTTCAATAACATGGGTGGACCACATCCAATCAGCTGAAAGGCCTTAGAAAATGGAGGTTTCCCTGAAGGAGAAGAAATTCTTCCTGTGGGCACCTCATCAGCTCCTGCCCAATTTCCCGGACTGTCGGCCCTACTGCATGAAATTTCAGATACACCCAACCAGACTTCACAATCATATTATGTCAATTCCTTGAAATACACCTATTTTTCTCTCT
Organism: Homo sapiens; assembly: GCF_000001405.40. Classification (NCBI taxonomy): domain Eukaryota; kingdom Metazoa; phylum Chordata; class Mammalia; order Primates; family Hominidae; genus Homo; species Homo sapiens. The sequence continues at coordinate 128,045,071 of NC_000003.12, forward strand.
CTTTCTATTTCTCTACCATATATATCTCTCTGATATATATACCGCCGGCCCTCCATATCTGTGCTGCATCTGCAGATTCGGCCAACCATAGTTTGAAAATATTTTTTAGGCTGGGAAGGGTGGCTCACGCCTGTAATCTCAGCACTTTGGGAGGCCCAGGCAGGAGGATCACCTGAGGTCACAAGTTCAAGACCAGCCTGGCCAACACGGTGAAACCTCGTCTCTACTAAAAATACAAAAATTAGCTGGGCGTGGTGGTGGGTGCCTGTAATCCCAGCTACTTGGGAGGCTGAGTCAGGACAATTGCTTGAACCTGGGAGGTGGAGACTGCAGTGAGCTGAGATCATGCCACTGCACCCCAGCCTGAGCAGAGCAAGACTCTGTCTCAAAGAAAAAAAAAGTTTTTTAAAAAACAATGAAAAATAAAACATAAATACAAAGAGCTATTTATATAGCATTTACATTGTTAGATGTAAGTAATGTAGAGATCATTTAAAATATACAAGAGGATGTGTGTAAGTTATAACCAAATACTACACCATTTTATATCAGGGACTTGAGCATCCACAGATTTTGATATCTGCAGAGGGTGGGGATGCTAGGGTTGGGGGGTCCTGGAACCAACATCCCACGGATACCAAGGGTCGACTGTATGCATCTCCTACTACTGGTTCTGTTTCTGTGGTAGAACCCTGACTGACACAATCTGCCATGCCCTGGATGTTTCTTGGGTATTCTCTGATCTCCAGAATGGGAAAAGCCTCCTGAATTCTTCCCTGGGAGTCAGGCCTGCCTGGCTTCCTTTTCTTTTTTTCCTCCTGGAGAGCTTCTATCTCAGAAATCTGGAAGGCCTCTATCTCTGAAGGGCACCATTTTCCTTCATCTGTCTAGCTCGTCATGCATTTGCTAGATATTAACAACTGTAATGAAGCCTAGCTTCTCCAATGATAGCTTTATTGCTAGCCTTACTCTTTGTTTTAGCCATAGGGAGCTATCTCTGTCCAATCCCAGAAATTTACCATATTCCCTCCCCTTTCTCCTTCTCAAGTCCCACTTTCTCTTCACCACCTGTTAGACAGACTGAGAGCTGTCTCCCAATACCCATTCTCCCCTTGTTCCATGGCAGTAGCCAGCCCATGACTTTACAGGATAAAGACTAGATTTTTCAAACTCCTTTTCAGATAAGTGCAACTAGGTTATAGCCAAAGGAATAGAATAGATGCAATGTGTCCAACTTCCAGGTTGTGCATTAACAGAAGGGCAGTCCCACCTCTCCCTTTTCTTTCATCTTCCAAATGGCCAAAATATAGACACAATGATGGGCCATACTGGATTTTGTGGGCCACAGCACCACCCAAAAGGGAGTGGAGAAATAAGAGAGAGCAAGCTTCAGACCTATACTGCTACCTGGACTTCCATCTGGTTTATGATACTGATTTGTTTTTTTTGTTTTTTTTTTTTAATCTGCAGCAACGGCTAATTTTTTTTTTTTTTTTTTTTTTTTTTTTGAGATGGAGTCTCGCGCTGTTGCCCAGGCTGGAGTGCAGTGGCGCAATCTTGGCTCGCTGCAACCTCTGCCTCCCAGGTTCAAGCGATTCTCCTGCCTCAGCCTCCTGAGTAGCTGGGATTACAAGTGCGTGCCACCACGCCCGGCTAATTTTTGGTCTCCAACTCTGACCTCATATCTGCCCGCTTCAGCCTCCCAAAATGCTGGGGTTACAGGCGTGAGCCACCGTGCCCAGCTAACAGCCGGATTTATATCCTAACCAACACACCAACTGGCCAAAAGAATAACCAGCTCCCCCAACCCGCTGTCTTCCCCAACCTAATTATTATATCGGATTGTCTTGTTACCTGGCTGTTCCTCCTCCTTCCCACCCTTAAATATGGTTGACCCCCTCTCCCACTGGGTCTCTCCTTGAATCTGGTCTCTCTATGCTTTCTCCCTTAGAAATCTCATCCACTCTCATGGAAAACGACTTAACATGCTTCTAATCCTAACTCATTTCTGAGCACCAGGTCTGCTTATTGGACTTCTCATTGATCAATTTCCAGTACCTCAAACTCTGCATGTTTAAAATAAAATTCACTTTCCTCTCTCTCACACACACACACAAACACACACACACACACTCACCATGGGGGTAAGTAGGCAACCTGTTCTCGATTTCCTTATTTAGGTAAATGAAATAAATGACACCCCCATCCTGCCAAGAACCCAGGCTTAAAACTACAGCAGAGGCCACAAATTCAAATGCTTAGAGACCAGGCAAGAGGCAAGGGACAAGTGGTAACTGTGGGGAGCCAAAGAGCTGCTGACCAATCTTAAAAAAGCAGCCACAACTTACTGATTTCTGGCATGTAGGAATATTAGCCTAGTGCTGTCGGGTCTTCTGATCTTCCAAGAGAAGTAAAAAATCTAGATTTTATGTTTTATGTGATCTCTCTAGATTTTACAAACAAAACAAGAAGTCATCTTGAACTGGTCAATATGTAAATCAAAAATTTAAAAACATATCTCCTATTTCTAAATAAATATCATAAAATGACAATGTAACTTGCAGCAAAAATAATTTGACAGATCTTTCTAGTATGTCTAAATCATTTCTTGGTTTTTGGAAGTTATGAATCTTTTGATACAGTTGTCACTAGATTTTGCCCCTGTATGGAGTGATGATTTGACATAGGAAGCAACATCAAATTGTTCCAACAACTTCCTCATTAAATGGATAATCATTAAATGAATTAAGCAGAGAATTTCCTTAACATCAATGATACTGTTTTTAGTGTTGAATCCTCAGTTTCTTATTAATAGCAATTAAATTTAAACATTTTATAGACTATAATAAAGTCTAAGAACATACAGAACTGATTCAATATCTGTTATTGACTAAGTCACACAAATCACTTATTGAAATATCTTTTAACTTACTGGCTTATTCACTATGTTCTGTTCACTCTCAATTCACGGAGCTTCACAAACCAGGGGGCTTTATTTCAAGATTCAAAAAATTGAAAGGGCTTAAAAGTTTATTACATTTTTCACTTTTGTCACCAAATACATTGATTTATTAGAAAAGCCAATAATTTTTCTCTTGGAATTGATACTTCACTTTTTTTTTCAAACAGGATACCTATTTTTTCTTATCCATAATAACTTCCACTTGTTTCAAACTTCCCTTTGTTTACATATGTCCAACTGCTTTACAGTTTATTGAAATAATGTCAGCTCTAATAGCTAAAATATGTTTTCTTATAAAGCTAAAATAAATACTGCTGGGCACGGTGGCTCACGCCTATAATCCCAGCACTTTGGGAGGCAGAAGTGGGCAGATCACTTGAGGTCAGAAGTTTGAGACCAGCCTGGCCAACATGGCAAAACTCCATCTCTACTAAAAATACAAAAATTAGCCAGGTGTGGTGGCGCACGCCTGTAATTCCAGCTACTTGGAAGGCTGAGGCAGGAGAATCACTTAAACTCAGGAGATGGAGGTTGCAGTGAGCTGAGATCGCGCCACTGCACTCCAGCCTGGGCAACAGAGCGAGACTTCATCTCAAAACAAAACAAAAAAACTCTAAATACTGACATCTCCATTAAAATATCATTTATTAAGGCCCAAACTCTTTAAAATATATTTTTCAAACAGCCACTGCATTTGTTTCCATTACAGTGAACATACAGAACTTACTGACTTCCACCACAGCGGGTATATAGCTCAGGGGTAGAGCATTTGAATGCAGAACTTACCGACTTCCACATTGCTTTTGCAGATCTAGCACTGCAGGCTTGTCCATCAAGGTTCAATTTGCATTACTTAATGTAGTTATTTCTGCTACTTGGTGTGTGGTAGTAAATATAGTTTATCAAGAAAAGCATGAGTTCCCTGACTTGTATTGGTTTATCCAAAATTAAATTTGATAATTTAGTGCCAAATTAAAACATCCACATTTTTCCTAAACTTTTGGCTGAAACTCCATACTCTCTCTAGAATTACATTAGCATTTTTTGTATAAAATCCAATGACAATTTTCTTATTTGGTACAATATTCCAATTACATCTTTATGGAACTATATCTCAAATGTAATTCTTTCTTGTGTACTCATAATAAAGACAATACAGTGTACTAAATGTTTCCCAGTGTCATAAGATCAACAAAAACCATTATATTCAAAAACCTTTAAATTTGCATTTTAATTATTAAAACACATTCACATAAAAAAATGAAGCTTCTTAGATGATGATTTTAAATACACCTCTTTGATTTACATATTTTTCAAAAAGCTGTTTTCTCATTTGGGTACATCTGGTTTTTAACAGGTGGGTCCAGAATACAATGGCGTGTTCATATCAATATTAATCCTTTTGAAGTTCTAGTAAATGTGTGTGAAATGCTCAATTATACTTAACTATATAATAGTGCTAAAAATTCTGACAGTACCTTCTAAATCTTTTTTTTTTTTTTTTTTTTTTTTTGAGACAGAGTCTCGCTCTGTTGCCCAGGCTGGAGTGCAGTGATGAGATCTCGGTTTACTGCAACCTCCACCCCCCAGGGTTCTAGCCATTCTCATGTCTCAGCCTCCTGAGTAGTTGGGACTACAGGCACGCACCACCATGCTCAGCTAATTTTTTATTTTTAGTAGAGGCGAGATTTCACCATGTTGGCCAGGCTGGTCTCGAACTCCTGGCCTCAAGTGATCTGCCCACCTTGGCTTCCCAAAGTGCTGGGATTTCATGAGCCACCAAGCTTGGCCCTAAATCTTTTTGATTGCTTTATCCTCACTCTGATAACCTTTTTGGGAGTTCTAAGTTTTCAAATACTTAATTTATGAAACTGATTATATTCTTTTAAGTTCTTTTCTCATCGATAATCACAATTTTTCTTCACTTGCACAAGCTTTAAGAGCATTCTGATGAATATATGTTTAACACTTTGATCTTTTAACAATAGAACTTCTGAGCACTCAGTACCCAACATTTCTGTCACTAGCAATGTCAAATTTTTGGTTGAAAAAAATTATTTTTTCACTACAAAACTATAGATTTTATGTAATAAAGTTTATCTTATAAATTATAAATTTTATTTTGTGCTGATTCTTAAACAGTATCAAAAGAAGTTCCAGGCGGGGATTCATTATTATTACAAATTTCTTGTTTATTCTTCTGCAGATATCAAGATTTACATTTATCATACTTAAAAGTATTGAAAATTCATCCAGATTTTTGTGGTCTCTTTCATTCTAGGTGGATGTTTCTAATATCCTATAATAAAATCTTAAATGTATAAATATAAAACACTGCATACCTATTTTCCGAAGAATTAATGTATGTGCTTACAATAGAAATATTTTATTATTTTTTGAGACAGAGTCTCACTCTGTCGTCACCCAGGCTGAAGTGCAGTGGTGAGATCTCAGCTCACTGCAGCCTCGACCTCCCAGGCTCAAGGGATCCTCCCACCTCAGCCTTTCCAGTAGCTGGGACTACAGGCATGCGCCACCATGCCTAGCTAATTTTTTTCTGTATTTTTTTCTAGAGACAGGGTTTTGCCATGTTGCCCAGGCTGGTCTTGCACTCCTGGGCTCAAGTGATCCTCTTGCCTTGGCCTCCCGAAGTGCTGGGATTACTGGTGTGAGCCACTGCACCCAGTCCAATAAAAATATTTTAAACTAGTGATTCTCCTAAAGCAATCAGTGATTTAACACACGTAACTTGGCTGCAGTCCCTGCAGTGACACAGGCCAGATTGTGTCATAATGTGGAAACAACAGGAGGCCTGTTATCAATGGTACTGACATCCTACAACTATTAGCACAAACCAATGAGTTTATATTAAAATTTCTATTAACTAATTGTAATATTTATTGTAATTACTATACTATTTACCCTCGAAATATTTCAACATTTTAACCATCAATATGGTGCAGGGTGCATAATGGCTAAATATCGGATCTAGTCTATATGCTGAACTTAGTCCAGGGGCTGCCAGTTTTAGCTTCAGGCCAAAACTCCAGAAGAGATCATCAGTGGGTCCTGGAAGTGAAGATGGGTTGCATTTCAGACTCTGAATAAAGAGTCAATGTCTTCTTTTTCCCCTTTTTGGTGGGGGATGGATATCAAGTGATGTCACACCTAGACCACTTCACTGAAGTTACCTGCCTGTTCCCAGTAGTCCTTTGAATTTTCCACCAGTGGGTTTGTATTCCAAAAAAGACTTCCTGTCCTGTCCAACTTTCTGAGCCAAGAATGTACAAAACCTGATTATCTGCTAGAAATGGGTGAGAATGGAAAAATCCAAATAGTTGACACCTAAATTAAAAGCAAAAAAGCATCTTGCCACATATGTACCCTCAACTTCTACCTGTCCTGGTCAAGGTTTAGCTCCATGAAACCTTGCCTGATCCCACAAGGCGTGCCCACCTCCTCCCTGCTAAATGCTCACAGCATTAAGTCTGTTTCTCTTAGATGACATCATACCTACTGACTACAGATGCCTGAAAGTAAATTCCAACCCCCAGCCCCAGCATCCCTTGCCCTACCCGTTATCCCCCTTTCCCACACCGATCTTAGGCAATCACACCGCCATGCTTTGCCCACAACAGTCTCCTCAACCTGTTCCCTCATTCCTTCTCGCCAGAATCTATCAAGGCTCGGCACAAAGGTACTCTCCCAGGAGGCCTTCCTGAATTCTTCTGTGAGGCAGACTACTTCCCGAGCTGCCCCGGCCCTTCTCCGGCCAAGTCTCTCCAGAAACTCATCCCATTCGTTCTCAGATGGAAGGGGACCCACACCCACGACAAGCCTCCGGGTTTGCTTAATGACTCAGACAGCGAGGGTGCTCGGTAAGCCCCACCAGCCCGCGCCCTACTCAGCAGGTAATGACGGAGACCTACTAGGTGACGGGCGCCGCGGTAGACGCTGGGATAAGGTCCCTGCTCCAGGGAGCTTACGGTCTATTCACTAACGTCAAAGAGCAGTGAGTGCTGTTACGTGTATGGGAGCCACCAGGGTCTCCGCCTGCCTGCAGGGCCACGCGCGCACTCGACGCTTCGCGCCTGCCTCAGTTTCTCCGTGAGGCCGCACAGCCCCAGTCTCGGGAGGCGTGACACACCCTCCCCGCGCGCTCTCGCGTTACCAAGTCTGCGCAGCCGCACACCCCCAGTCCCGGCGGGCCCCGCGCGCCAGGCCCCTTCCCGACAGGCCCCAGGAGCCCCGCTGCATGCCGGGGCTTGAGGTCTCGGCGAAGCGGCGCGGCGCGGCGAAGCGCGGCGGCCGGCGGGCGCGCGTGGCAGGAAGCGGAAGCGATCCGAGGCCCGGCCCCGGCCCCGCCCCGCGCCGCGCCGCGCCGCTTGCCGCCGGGCTAGCACTGACGTGTCTCTCGGCGGAGCTGCTGTGCAGTGGAACGCGCTGGGCCGCGGGCAGCGTCGCCTCACGCGGAGCAGAGCTGAGCTGAAGCGGGACCCGGAGCCCGAGCAGCCGCCGCCATGGCAAGTGAGTCCTGTAGGGAAGCCCTATTGAGGCCGGGACGGAACAGATCCCCCTTCCCCACACCCGTGCGGTCGGGCGCCCGCCGGCCAACCCTGACCGGCCCCCTGCAGAACGCGGCCCGTGCCCCCGGCCCTTCTCGAGTATCCCCACGCGTCCGGGGTGCGGCCGGCTCCCCTGGCCCCTGCTCTCACTCGTCGTGGGCAGAAGGCGTCCCTGGGTAGCGCGGAAGGTTACTTCTCTGTGTCCCAACTCTTCCTGTTTTGTTTCTCCCATCAAAGTCAAATTTCTGGAAGTCATCAAGCCCTTCTGTGTCATCCTGCCGGAAATTCAGAAGCCAGAGAGGAAGGTAAGTACCCCAAATCGCCAACAAAGAAGGTTTCAGGAAACTGTCTGGACTCTGGAAGTTTACAGTATGATTAAAAATGGCTTCAGCACGGCAATGGAAACTCTCCCTTCTCTTCCCTTGGAGTGTAGTTGTGCTCTGTTATTCCGGAGAGCTGTCGAAAGGTGACCTGGTTGTGTGGAAATTTCCACTGAAATCACTGTGCTTTATTTGGAGCATCTTTGGTGGATGTTGCTCCGAGAACAAAGCCTCCGGTTGCCCTGTCCCAAAAATGGATCCGGGCCATGAATGAATAAGGCCTCAGTTAGGATAGCAGATTGAGTTACCCTCCCTTTTTCACCTCCAACGGGAGCAGATCACGGGTTGGTTTTTTTTCCCAGGAGATGCCCTTTGTATCCAGCTGCTAAAGGGAAGGGCTGTCACTTTAGTATTTACAAATGATTTTGTACCTTTTATGTAGGCTGTCACAATAGGGGGAATAAAGGCTATTCTTTTGTGAAGTCTGCTGCTTTTCACAGACGGTGTATTAAAACAAGGAAAGATTAAATTTAGAGCTGTGCTGAATCAGAAATTGTGTGGAGTGAGTGTTGCCAGTGTAACTACAGCTGTCAACGAAAAAAAGTTTCATTAGGTTCCTAGGTTAGAGAGTGGGGAATAAAATGTTTGTGTCCTCACATTATTTTTCAAACTGTTGTTAAAGCATTCACATGGACACTTGGGTGCTTGGAATCCACTTTCATTTTTTTACGTAAAATAGTTTCATATAAATGCCCATGTGCTGCTTTTAATGGACGAATTTGTAAAGCTTTACCCCCTCAATTCCAGTGTAGCGAAGGGGCATGGCTCTGGAGGCAGGCAAGCCTAGGTCCCACCCTTTACATAGCACCTTAATAGCTATGTGACCTTGGCCTTGTAACTCAGTGTGGTAGACGGAACAAGGGAAATACGTGCAAGGTATAGCAGTGGCTCAGGAAGGGATTAACTCTGGGAGACATGATGTCTTATGGTGGTTTTGAAGGAGAAATAGAAGTCTCCTTGAAGGGACGGAAAGGAATTCCAAATAAAAGGAGTATATAGTTTGCAAAGGCATTGGTGACAAGAGTGTAGCATGTTTGGATGGGAGGTTATTAGATGTAGTTGCTATTGATAGAACATAATTGTAGGTGGGGAACATTAGGAGATGAATAACAAGGGCCAGACATGAGAATGTCACTTTGGAAGAAAAGGAGAGGACTAGAGTTGGTTTAGAGGCTTTTCACATCAGAGGATGAACTGTGGTACTGAGCAAGAATGGATTTAGGGGCTACTAAGAAGCAGAGGAGACAGGACTTGGATAAAGAGCTTTTGGGGTTTTGATGTTAAATTTGATTGTAACCAGGAGAGAGGACTTGGTGATTAGAAAGGGAGTTTTGAAAAAATTGTCTGCTCTTTGTTTCCCATCAAGATTCATTTCAGACAGGTTACTCTGAAATGGCGTTGCCTTCTCTTGGCCACTTTCTAATTTCTTAGTGTGGTGGGATGGTAGGTGGGAAGAGGACCATTCTCAAGAGAAGAAGAGTCCTGTGAATGCCCCCAGCTTTGGATGGAGTATCTGAACACTGATTCACCCACTGTTGTGTGGCCGTATGACTGTGTCCTACTTTGCCTGCATGTATAGTTAGAGGACTGTGACTCCAGTTCTGGCCAGAGGGCCAGGAATGCTGACTCAGTGCCTGCCTAGAAGTGTTTTTAAAGAACACAGTTTTGTCACTTAATACTGTCAGTCTCTCACAAGGTATTTCAACCTCAGAATCTTCCGTCTGTACAATAATTAATGTTTGTTAAGCCCTCTAAAGCCATTAATGTAGTGTAGGCAGCAGGTATTAGTGAAGACACTCAGTTTCAGAGGCAGAAAACCTGGAAGAGTTCCCACTCTACTCTTTAGTGACAGAGGTTTTGGGTGGGAGGTTTTCTAATGATACTTAATACTTAATAGTCATCTTTACAGTGATTCTTGTCACCTATGCAACCTATGTACCTGAGAAGATGTGAAAATCCTTAAACAAATGTTACTAGTAGGTTAAACATGCAACTCTCCTGCCCTTCCCCAATATGGTTTATTACACTGTTTTACCCTTAATTCATAGAAAATACACTATTGAGCAATTCCAAATTACTTGACTCTAGAATAACAAGGTTTTGTGACTGAAACTCAAATGAAAAGTGGTTGCTCGTGTGTTTTACAAGTCATGTTCTATTGTGACATTCTTTGTTCTTGAGTCTTAACTGTTAATGCTAATGGTTAAAAGCACAGTTTGGGACTCAAACTCACTTTAGCATTGGGGTTTGGTACAAATTATTTAGCTCTTCTAAGGCTCAGTTGTAAAATAAAGGTAATGCTCTGTGGTGTGAGGTGAGCTGGGGTGATGCCTGTAGGTCCTTGCATTGTGCTCTGTGCAGAGGAAGTTACGCAGTACATGGTACTTATGTTTGGTACATGGTTTGGCTTCTCTGCTGAACAGAGAAAAGAGTCTGGTTGGAGTCCATTTTTAGAGAAAGGGGTCTGATTGGAGTCCATTTTTATTAATTTGCTTTTCAAAGTAACTCCCTGCTTCAATTCATTCTCTCCTACTCTAGATTCAGTTTAAGGAGAAAGTGCTGTGGACCGCTATCACCCTCTTTATCTTCTTAGTGTGCTGCCAGGTAAGCTCAGGCTTGTATTTCGTATTGGGGAGGGGGATAAGAGTGGCTGGAAACAGGAGTGCTGACTGTTTTGCTCTTTGCCTGTTCCCAGATTCCCCTGTTTGGGATCATGTCTTCAGATTCAGCTGACCCTTTCTATTGGATGAGAGTGATTCTAGCCTCTAACAGAGGTAGGACTCTGGCTCTGTCTTTTCTCTGTAGAGTGTAGGCTTACCTAGCTTCACTTAGTTAAATTAATAGGCTTTGGCTTTATATGGAACTTAGAGAGTGACTTGGAAAATAGAGTGAAGAATGTTAAAGTGCTGTGTTGAATAGCCTTATTAAATGCTGAGTTCAGCACCAAGGCATACCATCATATTTGGAATTGTATTTGAATGCAGTACAAAACCTGTAATGAGAAGATAAGTCTATGCTATAGAGAGAATAAAAAACATGGAAAAACTAGAATACTTTTTGAATACCTGAAATGATGACATTTCCATTGATAACATTCTTCAGAATATGTAATTTGTTTTTCAGCTGTATCTTTTTCATATCTATAGGTTACATATAGTGTCAAAAAATATGTAACAGTGTTTTATATCCTCTAACCAGTTACTTATGGGACTGGGGAGGATTCTGAATGTGTAGGTTGATACTGCATTTGATTAACTCATTTAAAAAATATAGTTCAATTAAATTCCAAATCAGTTGGAAGTGTAGCTCATTTTAACATAATGGGAAGTAGAGGCTTATTCACAACTAGATACAATTGTACAGGCTCCTTTTCCAGACTCTGGAAATTATTTGAATGTTATCCTTTTTTTATTAACTGATGAAGAGACGAACATTTCTTATCTCTAAAACCAGAATGAATCTGTTTATGGTGAATTTAAATGCAGCAGTCTGTTTAGACACCATGTGACTTCCTAAACAGAATAAGCTGTTGCCTGGCAGGCTGAACAGAATGAATTGAATTATATACTAATCGTTGATATTTTGGGGTTCTAAATTAAACACAGCTAGGAAACTGAAACACATTGGTTTTATATAAGGGGTACCCAGTCAAATTTTGCGTATTCATTTTTAAAATAACGTACTACGTTTCCAAGCTGATATTGACTGTTTTGCTTCCCCGTTTCCTCAAGGCACATTGATGGAGCTAGGGATCTCTCCTATTGTCACGTCTGGCCTTATAATGCAACTCTTGGCTGGCGCCAAGATAATTGAAGTTGGTGACACCCCAAAAGACCGAGCTCTCTTCAACGGAGCCCAAAAGTGTAAGAAAGATTGTGAATAATCTGATGTCTATAGTTGGAAAATTTGAATTTGCTATAAGATTTTGGTATCAGTTTTTCTTTTTTTATTTATTTTTTATTTTTTTTTTTTTTTTTGAGATGGAGTCTTACTCTGTTGCCCAGGCTGGAGTGCAGTGACGCAGTCTTGGCTCACTGCAACCTCCACCTCCCAGGTTCAAGCAATTCTGCCTCAGCTTCCCGAGTAGCTGGGATTACAGGCACGTGCCACCACACCCAGCTAATTTTTGTATTTTTAGTGGAGACGGGATTTCACTACATAGGCCATGCTGGTCTTGAACTCCTGATCTTGTGATCCACCCGCCTCGGCCTCCCAAAGTGCTGGGATTATAGGCGTGAGCCACCATGCCCAGCCCAAACAGTATTTTCTTTTGTGCTGCAACCTCCTTGGCCTGCCAACCCTGCAGGAGCTCCATGCCCTGTGTTAGCGTGAGAGAGCACTTCTGGTAGAGCAGAGGTGGTGGGTGCTGGGGATGGGCTGGGCAAGGCAGGGGAGAGTGTCTGGAGTGCCCCTGAGGCCATGTAATGGAGGAGAAGGATCAGAGCTTGGAGGTCTTAGCACCCTTGGCCACCATTTCATTATTGCTTAAAAGGAAGTAATGGCTACTTCAGAGCTGTCATAAGGATTAAATAATCACTGTCACAATGCCTGGCACATAGTAGTTATTTGGCAAGTGTTTTATAAAAGAATTTAACTGACTGGGGGGCGGTGGCTCACGCCTGTAACCCCCAGCACTTTGGGAGGCTGAGGCGGGCGGATCATCTGAGGTCAGGAGTTTGAGACCAACCTGGCCAACATGGTGAAACCCCATCTCTACTAAAAAAATACAAAAATTAGCCAGGCGTGGTGACAAGGTGCCTTAATCCCAGCTACTTGAGAGGCAGAGGCAGGAGAATTGTTTGAACCCAGGAGGCAGAGGTTGCAGTGAGCCGAGATAAAGCCATTGCACTCAAACATGGGGGACAGAGCAAGACTTCTCTCAAAAAAAAAAAAGAATTTAACTGAAGAAAAGGTGATCCTGTCAGTCCAGCTGTATAATTTACCAGCTCTGTGATCTGGGGAAAAGTTAGATGATAGCTCTTATGTTTCACTTTCTTCATCTGTAAAAATGGGGATAATAATGGTATTTGCCTCATATCTAATAAGTGTTACTAGTAACAATTACTAGTCATCAAAATTAGCCATATTTAGCCTCTGTTTGCTGAAAAACATTAATTAGGAAATGATATTTACAGTCTCCTATCCAGTCATCTTTTCGCCTACACCAGCATGTTTTACAGGTCTTAAATTAGTATGGTGGATAATTGAATGAGAAATACGTCTATTTTTTTTTTTTTTTTTTTTTTTTTGAGACGGAGTCTCACTCTGTCGCCCAGGCTGGAGTGCAGTGGCGTGATCTTGGTTCACTGCAAGCTCCGCTTCCTGGGTTCAAGCCATTCTCCTGCCTCAGCCTCCCAAGTAGCTGGGACTACAGGTGCCCGCCACCACGCCCAGCTAATTTTTTGTATTTTTAGTAAAGACGGGGTTTCACTGTGTTAGTCAGGATGGTCTCAGTCTCGATCTCCTGACTTCGTGATCCGCCCGCCTCAGGCTCCCAAAGTGCTGGGATTACAGGCGTGAGCCACAGCGCCCAGCCAAGAAATACATCTATTTAAACTTGTCAGTTTTAGATAAAAATTAGGATTCTAAAATACACACATGTGGCTGGGAGCGGTGGCTCATACTTGTATCCCAGCACTTTGGGAGGCCAAGGCAGGATGATTGCTTGAGGCCAGGAGTTCGTGACTAGCCTGGGTAACACAGTGAGAGAGACCCCATCTCTACAAAACAACAACAACAAATTAGCCAAGTGTGGTGATGCACCTGTAGTTCTAGCTACTAGGGAGGCTGAGGTGGGAGGATCACTTAAGCCCAGGAGTTTGAGGCTGCTAGTGCACCACTGCACTCCTGCCCGGGCAACAGAGCCTGTCTCTTAAAACAAAACAAAAAACACTAAGAAAACAAAAAAAGTACAAGCACAAATTGGCTGTTTTCTCTTTGGTCTTCACAATGTTTTGAATGTTTTCCTGCATTAAGAACTAATTGTTGTGGAGCACTTTTTAAAAAGTCAAATAGGGACTGTATTTGATGGCCACTTTGGAGTAAAATTAATTTTACATGACAGATTAAATAGGAAAGCTGAAACTGAAGGTCAGACTGTACTTAGAGGACCCATCTAGTACTGTGGAACTTGTCAAATGTGTCCATTCCCTTGTGCCTAACAGTGAAATAGAGTGAGTTGTAAGAAATGAAGACACCCTACAAAAAGGAAAGCTTTTGCCAGGCGTGGCTCATGTCTGTAATCCCCGCACTTTGGGAGGCTGAGGTGGGTGGATCACGAGGTCAGGAGTTGGAGACCATCCTGGCTAACACAGTGAAACCCTGTCTACACTAAAAATACAAAAAATTAGCTGGCTGTGGTGGCACGTGCCTGTAATCCTAGCTACTCCAGAGGCTGAGGCAGGAAAATCGCTTGAACCTGGGAGGTGGAGGTTGCAGTGAGCCAAGATCATGCCACCGTACTCCAGCCTGGGCGACAGAGACTCCGTCTCAAAAAAAAAAAAAAGGAAAGCTTCTATTAGACCAAAATAGCTTGGTACCTAAGGGAATGGGAAGAGCAGCCAAATCAATGGTACGTGGGGTTTTCCTTTTAAAAGCACATTAAATAAAAACTTGAGAAGGGATCACTTTACCCCAGAGCTAATAATTCTGTCCTCTGGACCCAGACCTGGATGGTGAGCCTAGAGAGGTGGCCCAAATCTGTAGTTCAGCTCTTGAGCCATCGAGACCCCAAGTGCCTGACATTGAGTTTGGGTGCTGCAGGTGTGACATCTCCAGATTGTGTCTCCGGATGCTGTCAGGAGTAGGTTCTACTCCCTGATTTTCTTTGAATAGAACAAATTTTCCAAGTTTCACTTTTACTCCTCCCATGACTAAAAAGCAAGTGAATCTAGGAAAAGGTAAAACTAAAGAAGAAGTGTGCTTTTGTTAAAAGGCTTTTGATTCATCATGTACTTTGCTGATGTGATGGTTTAGCGCGTTCTCAGCCGAGCCCCTTGGAGGTAGTATCACTGCTCTTCATCTTTGTTCTCCCCCGTGCCTGGCGTTGAATTGGTGTTTCTTAATTGTTTCTTTTGTTCTGTGTAGTGACCCACTTGGAAAACACTTCTTTCTTTCAATTCTAGTATTTGGCATGATCATTACTATCGGCCAGTCTATCGTGTATGTGATGACCGGGATGTATGGGGACCCTTCTGAAATGGGTGCTGGAATTTGCCTGCTAATCACCATTCAGGTAATTATTATGCTAACATCTCCCTTTGAGTAGCCCCTCACACTTACCTACAATTCTCACATAACGAATCTCAAGCACACCTAAAAGGAACTCCTACTGAAAGGAAGCAGAAGCCTAAGACTCTGGGTTAGCCCTCTGAATTCAGCAGAGAAAGGCTTTACTGACCGCTCTCTGGGGCTGAGGATGTGATCTCATTCCGTCTTCAGCGTTTATATCAGAGAACCCAATTACTGAAGGACGGAACCATGTCCGTGGGGAGCAGTAACACATAGTCTTGTATTTTTGAATTTTTACAGCTCTTTGTTGCTGGCTTAATTGTCCTACTTTTGGATGAACTCCTGCAAAAAGGATATGGCCTTGGCTCTGGTATTTCTCTCTTCATTGCAACTAACATCTGTGAAACCATCGTATGGAAGGCATTCAGCCCCACTACTGTCAACACTGGCCGAGGTAAGGGCCCTGTGCTCCCCTGGTGGCGACAGCTTTCAGCAAAAACAATTGAGCAATGCAAAGCAGAAGACAAAAATCCCCCCATTCCACAGAAAAATAATGTCAGTTTTAGGTTTATCTCTTCTGGTGTTTGGGTCCATCTGCAAAGTTTTAAAAACACAAATAGGCTTGTAATTATGATGATACCTAACTTGCACTTTTCATATAAAAATATCTCCTGGACGTTTGGCACGTCAGAATACACAATCCTGCCTCACTTTTCTTAGCACAGTATAAGCTTATATTGCAACGATAAAGCAACGTTAAGTCATTTCCAGGTTTTTTTATCGTTAACATTGAAACCATGACTGTCCTCATATGTTCATCTTTGTATATTTTGGCAGCTGCTCTCAGTGAATAAGTTTCTAAAAATGAAATTCCTAAACCAAAGCACTTGGTCATGCAAGGGGCAGCTTTCTGAAAAAGGCCTGAACTTGGAGCTTAGCACCTGCGTTCAAATCCTGGCTGTTCCTGTTAGTCATACATACGTGGCTTTGGGCAGATTCCTGCACCACTGAATCTTGGTTACCAGGATGCAGTGAGAAGCAACATGAAATTACATGATGCCTGGCTCCTGGTAGATGTGTATCAAACATTGGCATGCTGTGCTACATCCACCAAGTGCCGTGGAAATCTTGTAACAGCATGTTTTTAATAAAAAGTTCAAAACATACAAGGGAAGCCTTAGAGAGTGTGACTTATTAGGGAAAGGAAATAAACATTTTTTGGCACTAAATATCTTCTTCACTGAGGAGCATTCCAGGAGAAATAATCATGCATATTTGAGAGTTTTCTTTTAATTGAATGTTGGAAACAGAGTCCTTGGCCTCCAGAGACCATATTATCTCATTAATGAGATGGAAAACTGGTCCCCAAACAAGTGAAGGCTGCATGTGCCTAACAGGTTACAAAGGAGAGTGGAGCTTGAGATAGGGAGCCATAGAGAAGAGTGGGCAAGATCACATTTGATGCTTCCTTGAGTACTTTGTATAAATTTAGGAAATCCAAGGTAAATTGGGAGAAGCAGGTCCAGAAGGCAAAGTTTGACAGGATGTGAAAAGGCAAGAGGGGGATGGCATTGTAGGAGTTCAGGTATTTGTCAAGACCATCATGGTGACTGGCTTTTGGGGAGTGCCTGAGTGGGAAGGAAGTAAAGTCAGAGGGGAGCCCCTGGTGGCTTAGCAGCCCAGTAGTAGCCGCCAGAGGCTCATGTTCCATTCTGCAGCAGGGCATTGAGTAATGGGAGCCAGAGTTTGGAAGAAGTGATTTGCTCTGCACTGAAAGGCAGAGAGAGCAGCTAGGTGCGTGCAGCAGTAATCCAGCCCCAATTAAGCCATCCTACAGGAGAGCACTGTGTGAGGGCATTTGGAGGAAGCAAGTTGAGAGAGGGGACCAGAGAGGCACTTTCAAGGTGGGGGAAAACTAAGAAGCAAAGGTGGATTTGTCTGGCCTTGAAGTCAGTGTGTCTACATGTCAGTTGCTCGTGTTTGGGACCTGGCTGACACGAGATGCATTCAGGAAGGGCTGTGCCCCATGGCCTGCATGTGGGCAGTGAGTGGTGCTAGAGGGAGAGCCTAGGGAGGGGCAGGGAGAGCCACACAGAGGGCACAGCTGGGACGGCAGCTTTGCAGCTGTGCCTGGAGATGTTGCAGCTTGGCTTGGGACAGGGGAGGCTGTTGAATGAGATTCTACAGGCAGAGACAGTAATCACTGCTGCTTCCCTGGGCAGCAGGAACAATGCAGAACTGGGAATTAGTCCCAAATTTGAAACCGTGGGGAAACAGGCCAGCCTTGTCACACAGGACCAAAAGGTGGAAAGGATGGGAATTGACGAAAGACCGCCACAGGGTGAGATGAGGACATGATGGCCAGTTAGGATATGGTGTCTCTTTCACAGAAGCCACAGCAGAGGAGGTCAGTGGTCATATTGGTTAGATGGTCTGCCTGACATGTCATCTCGGAATGGTCCAGGAAGATGTAGCAGGTGGTCCTAGCTATCACGTGTTAGAAACTTGGGAACAGTGCTTTTGAGTTCTTTAGTTTCACCTTTTCCTAGATTCACTTGCTTTTTAGTCATGGGAGGAGTAAAAGTGAAAGTTGGAAGATTTGTTCTATGAAAGGAAAATCAGGGAGCAGAACCTACTCCTGACAGCATCCAGAGACACAATCTGGAGATGTCACACCTGCAGCACCGAAACTCAATGTCAGGCACTTGGGGTCTGGATGGCTCCTGAGCTGAACTACAGATTTGGGCCACCTCTCTAGGCTCACCATCCAGATCTGGGTCCAGAGGACAGAATTATTACCTTTGGGTTAAAGTGATCCCTTCTCAAGTTTTTATTTAATGTGCTTTTAAAAGGCAAACCCCACATACCATCAGTTTGGTTACTCTTCCCATTCCCTCAGCTACCAAGTTATTTTGGTTGAATAGAAGCTTTCCTTTTTGTAGGGTGTCTTCATTTCTTACATCTCACTCTATTTCACTGTTAGGCACAAGGGAATGGACACATTTGACAAGTTCCACAGTACTAGATGGGTCCTCTAAGTACAGTCTGACCTTCAGTTTCAGCTTTCCTATTTAATCTGTCATGTAAAATTAATTGTACTCCAAAGTGGCCATCAAATACAGTCCCTATTTGACTTTTTGTTGTTGTTGAGACGGAGTCTTGCTCTGTCACCCAGGCTGGAGTGCATTGGCGCCATCTCGGCTCACTGCAACCTCCGCCTCCCGGGTTCAAGCAGTTCTCTGCCTCAGCCTCCTGAGTATGGGATTACAGGCGCCCGCCACCATGTTCGGCTAATTTTTTTGTATTATTAGTAGAGACAGGGTTTCACCATCTTGGCCAGGCTGGTCTTGAACTCCTGACCTTGTGATCCGCCCGCGTCAGTCTCCCAAAGTGCTGGGATTACAGGCGTGAGCCACCACGCCCGACTCCTATTTGACTTTTTTAAAAGTGCTCCTCAGAGTACTGATACCATGACCCCACACTGCCCACAGAGACCCTGTCTCTGGAAGTAATGCCAGCTTCCTGCCAGTAGAAGCAGCGTGAGTTGCCAGGCTTCCATTATGGGATGGTTATGCTGTCCTGGAACGGCAGAGGTTATCACTTGTTTCTTTTTTTCGCTTTTTAGTTTTTTAACGTAAGTAAATTTCTTGCTGATGTCTAAAACTTAGGCCTTAATAATGCACCACACTCCCCGCCTTCCTCTCACTTGTTACTCTGTTGTCTGGTTCTTAGATTGGGTCCCTTTCCTATATCCCTCAGTCCCTCAGTAAGCTCACTCCACCCCTAGGCCTGCCTCCCTCAGGAGCATCTCCTGGCAGGGTGTCATTTGGATGGGACCACATGGTGGACGCAAGCATATCCTCTGTACTTGTATCCTTGGTGTGAGAAGCAGAGAGCTGGAGCCTCCCCACTCACCAGCCAAGGGCAGCCTGCACTTCATAGCTGTTGAATGGGTACTTGTACTTCTCAAGATTGTCCAGGAAAGTAGATTTGCCAGCTCTGAGCCCCCTCTTCAGTGGATGACCCCTTTCAGCTAGAGTTCAGCAGAGTCTGCTTTTATTTTTATAAATTATCATCGTTCCACACCTCTGGTGGCCACTGACTCATGTGCCTAAGAAATGAGACCAATTAATTTTAAAAAGTGGAATAGTGGTTGGGTGCTGTGGCTCACACCTGTAATCCCAACACTTTGGGAGGGTGAGGCGGGAGGATTGCTTGAGGTCAGGAGTTCGAGACCAGACTGGGTAACATAGTGAGACCCCCAACTGTACAAAAATAAAAAATAAAAAATTAGCCAGGCGTGGTAGCATGCCTATAGTCCCAGCTATTCGGAAGTCTGAGATAGGATCACTTGAGCCCAGGAGGAGAAGGTTGAGGCTGCAGTGAGCTGCAACCACACCACTGCACTCTAGCCTAGGCAGCCGAGAGAGAGGGACCCTGTCTAAAAAAAATCAAAAACAAACCAGAATAGCCCGTTTCTGTAGTTTGAATTCTCTACAGAAGAGAAGGGAGGGATGAGAATAATACATGCTGTATCCCTGTGGCTATGGGCACCATGAGTCTAATAACTTAAGTTTGTTTTCCTCTTTTTATTTGTCTGCTAAGAAGGCTAGAAGCAAATTGAGTTGCCTGTTCGTTCCTTCATATATGTCTCCTCCTCTGCCAACAGGAATGGAATTTGAAGGTGCTATCATCGCACTTTTCCATCTGCTGGCCACACGCACAGACAAGGTCCGAGCCCTTCGGGAGGCGTTCTACCGCCAGAATCTTCCCAACCTCATGAATCTCATCGCCACCATCTTTGTCTTTGCAGTGGTCATCTATTTCCAGGTGTGTCCAGATCCAACCCCAGGGAGTTTCCATGGTCTGGATTTAAGTTTCAGAATGCCTTGTGTGCAGTCCCCCACTCTGTGGGGTGCACTGTCATCATATTGTGTTGAAACGATGAGATGGTATTTGAAGGCAGCAGGTTTCCAGATGAGCTGGACAAGCATGTTCATTGAGTCATGGGACCTGCCATTAACGAAACAAAATTAAGGCAGTTCTAACGTAAGTGAAATCATGTTCTTCTGGGTTGGGCCTATCGACAGGTAAGATACATTTTTAAGTTCTTAGTTCAAGAGAAGCAAAAAGTACTCTAGCTCTGAAACCTCATTGCTCTCTTATAGAAAGTTTGTATGATATTTATAGGTAACTTCTGCATCTCGGAAACGGCCTATCTTCTTAAGCTGTCTTACCTTTAAAAGTATTCCATCTCTTAAACTTGCTTCTGAGTAAGAGACCTGAACTGCTATTGTTTTCCTGTAATTGGATTGATCTTTGTATTTTTTGATGGTCCACTTTGTATTTTGGTGTTTATTTAAAAGAAGGGACAGAGATGAAAGGCAGTTTGATGTTTGTGAAAGGTATTTATACGAGCTACATGCTTTTCCCATTCCTTCTGCTGAGACTAAGCCACATTCTTGCTTAATAAAAAGCTATCTCTTTAGGGGCTTTGCCAGAATTTGCAGTCAGATCATTAAGAATTTTTTTTTTTTTTTTTTTTTTGAGACGGAGTCTTGCTCTGTTGCCCAGGCTGGAGTGCAGTGGCGCGATCTCGACTCGACTCACTGCAACCTCCGCCTCCCAGGTTCAAGCGATTCTCCTGCCTCAGCCTCCCGAGTAGATGGGATTACAGGTGCCTGTCACCACGCCCGGCTAATTTTTTTTTATTTTTAGTATAGACAGGGTTTCACCGTGTTAGCCAGGATGGTCTCGATCTCCTGACCTCGTGATCCGCCCGCCTCCACATTACAAAGCGCTGGGATTACAGGCGTGAGCCACCGCACCCGGCCTTAAGTATTTAATTTTTAAATCCTCTGTATTCCGAGCCCTGTTCTAGGTACTGGGAGCTCATAAAAATAAACCCTTTCTAGTCTCCAGGGGTTTCAGAGGGAGAAGTTGTATTCCTAGAAAAGTTTAGCTTTTCTGTTTATGATTAAAAACACTGTAAGGAACTATTATAAGGTGTGAGGCCACTGCTGTAGTGGCCCTGCCTCAGAGCCAGTGTAAAAGCTTAGGAAACATCACCAGCTAGAGAGAAGCGCCCTTGGGATTTGGGTGTGTGGCCTCCAGGCTTTTCTCCATATTCCACACAGATGTGGATGTAATGTGATAGGCTCTGTCTTTTGGAAAAAAAAAAAGTGGGGGTGGGGATCATTCCACCGTGCTTGCTTCCATGTTTTGTTTTGTGTGAGACAGGGTCTCGTTGTGTTGCTTAGGCTGGAATGCAGTGGCATGATCTCGGCTCACTGCAGCCTAGACCTCCCAGGCTCAAGTGATTGTCCCACCTCAGCCTCCTGAGTAGCTGGGACTACAGGCGCGCACCACCACACCCGGCCAGTTTTGTTTATTTTTTGTAGAGACGGAGTCTGACTGTGTTGCCCAGGCTGGTATCGAACTTCTGGGCTCAAGCAATTCTCCCACCTCGGCCTCCCAAAGTGCTGGGATTACAGGTGTAAGTCACCACGCCTAGCCTTCAGTGTATTTTTAAACCAGCTTTTCTGGGCCCCTTCTGGATGTGCCAAGTGCAGGAGTGCAGTGGTGGGTAAGGAGTGGGCACAAGCTCTCGGAACTGGGAGCCCCAGAACCAGCACACAGGATTTCCTCCCTTGTGGCCCACTGGACAGTCCCCGGCCGGGCTGTGTTTCTGTGCAGCAGGCTGAAATGAGGCAGTGAAGGGGATTTGGTTCTGTTTGGCTTCTCAGGGCTTCCGAGTGGACCTGCCAATCAAGTCGGCCCGCTACCGTGGCCAGTACAACACCTATCCCATCAAGCTCTTCTATACGTCCAACATCCCCATCATCCTGCAGTCTGCCCTGGTGTCCAACCTTTATGTCATCTCCCAAATGCTCTCAGCTCGCTTCAGTGGCAACTTGCTGGTCAGCCTGCTGGGCACCTGGTCGGTAAGTAGGCTCTTTGAAGATGAGCTAGCAATGCAGCTAAGTTGCAGTGGTTTCTATCAGTGTCTTGCTCATGAACAGATATTTCATCCAAAGATATTTTCCATTGTGCCTTTTACAAATTCAGCACATTAAATTATCTTTTCAGTAAAAAAATTGTACTGTGGGCACCGAGTAAAATTGCATTCTTTCATCTGCTCAGAACTATTTTTGCCTTGATGCTAAAGTAAAATGAAGGAGCACTCACATGCGTTTGGTTTCTTCTTCCCCAGGACACGTCTTCTGGGGGCCCAGCACGTGCTTATCCAGTTGGTGGCCTTTGCTATTACCTGTCCCCTCCAGAATCTTTTGGCTCCGTGTTAGAAGACCCGGTCCATGCAGTTGTATACATAGTGTTCATGCTGGGCTCCTGTGCATTCTTCTCCAAAACGTGGATTGAGGTCTCAGGTTCCTCTGCCAAAGATGTAAGTAGAAGCAAAACTTTCTGGAAGGGTGATGAAAGTGTGACTGGTATAAGGGGTGTGGACTTGTCACCTCATCATAAATAATGGTCTGTGACGTGTGCAGATAGATCGTCGTCCTTTAGGGGGCAGTTCAGAAGCTTTAAGGGCTGACAGATGGAGTCCAGCAGTAGATCAGCTGTGGGTATGAGAATCTGAATCCACACTGTAAAGTTAGACTTTTTCATATGACTTCCTTGCGGCAGTTTTAAAGTTCTCTGTATGAATATTGTCAGTGCTCGAAGAGGCGATCTGTAACTGTTCAGTACCACTTGGAATGCCTATTTCCCCTTCAGCCTCCAATTCCAACTTCTCCCCTGTGGGCACCCTGCAGGTTGCAAAGCAGCTGAAGGAGCAGCAGATGGTGATGAGAGGCCACCGAGAGACCTCCATGGTCCATGAACTCAACCGGTGAGTGGTGGCCCCAGGTCCCCAACCTCCCGTCTGTGGACATGTGTTGTTTCTTTCCATGCAGGGCATCCTGATAGGCCCTAGCACTTACTGGGTCACTAAATCTTATCCTTGGGTTACAGGACAGAATTAAATGTTATATATTTATAAACTTGCTAAGTGCTGGACACTGGAGACGTAAAAATAAACACTTACAGCCCCTTTCCTCCAGAGGGAGCCACTGGGTAAGGAGATGGAAGCATGTGGCCAGGCGGATAGGAGACAGTGCAGTAAGGGTCCTGAGAGCAACAGCTGTGACTGGCAGCGGGACCCTCACCCTGGCTCATGCCGGTGGGGTGCTGAAGAGAGCGCCCTGGAGGAGGGTCACTCTGAGCTCAGAGCAGGCAGGTCCTGGCATCTGAGCGCATTTTGGGGCCTGTGGTGGCATTAAGGCTAGAGAGGCTGGCAGTGGCTGGGCACGGAAGGGGTTGATGTGCATCTGAAGCAGGGCAGAAGGGATGGAGCCTGCAGTCTCTTAGGAAGGTCAGTGCTAATACATGAAACCACGCTAGAGAGGGAGAGGGGGAGGCCACATACCTGCCAGGCTGTGGTGAGAGTTTGGGCCAGAGGTGATGGTGCCAGATACAGCTGTACCCTTGGAGATGGAGCAGTTAGGTAAGGAAGGGCAAAGTCCAGGTGACCTTAGATGCTGCCACAGCACTCTTCAGTCTGCACAGTCCTCAGTACAACTACTCATCTCTTCCATCGTCACTCAGAAGCAGCCACAGACAGACAACAGACAAATGAGCATGGCCGTGTTCCTACAAAGCTGGCTACAAAGTCAGCTGCAGACCAGGTTGTCCTATGGGCCTTACCTAAAGGAAGCAACCACAGGAAAAGCCAGAATTGCAAACTTCAGATCATTTTCTAATCCCTAGCAGGGATGGTAGGCAATTTAGTTCATTCTCTTAATATTAAGCTGCTGGATTTACAGCACTGTGCAGTAGAAGTAGAATTCAAGTCACATGTAGTTTTTAAAATTTCTAGAAGTCACATTAAAAAAGTAAAAAGAAACAGGTGAAATTAAATTTAATATATTTAACCTAGTATATCCAAAGTATCATTTCAACATTATAATTAATGTTAAGAAAAACCATGATGAAATATTTTACATCCTTGTCTTCAAATCTCCAAAATCTTATGTGACATCTCAGTTTGGTCTAGTCACAGTCCCCTGGCCACGTGTGGCCAGTGTGGCCACTGCCTGGACAGCAGCGCCTTGGCCTAGAGCGCTAGCATGTTAGTAGATGACTTTCTAGGAGACAGCAGAGGGGCCTTTGAGGCATTAGGTCCCAAAGTCTCAGGTGAGCCTGTTGGCCGCCTGGCTCACGGGGAGCTCTGTGGGTGTCCAGGAGCTGACTGTGTCCCCTCCCCCAGGTACATCCCCACAGCCGCGGCCTTTGGTGGGCTGTGCATCGGGGCCCTCTCGGTCCTGGCTGACTTCCTAGGCGCCATTGGGTCTGGAACCGGGATCCTGCTCGCAGTCACAATCATCTACCAGTACTTTGAGATCTTCGTTAAGGAGCAAAGCGAGGTTGGCAGCATGGGGGCCCTGCTCTTCTGAGCCCGTCTCCCGGACAGGTTGAGGAAGCTGCTCCAGAAGCGCCTCGGAAGGGGAGCTCTCATCATGGCGCGTGCTGCTGCGGCATATGGACTTTTAATAATGTTTTTGAATTTCGTATTCTTTCATTCCACTGTGTAAAGTGCTAGACATTTTCCAATTTAAAATTTTGCTTTTTATCCTGGCACTGGCAAAAAGAACTGTGAAAGTGAAATTTTATTCAGCCGACTGCCAGAGAAGTGGGAATGGTATAGGATTGTCCCCAAGTGTCCATGTAACTTTTGTTTTAACCTTTGCACCTTCTCAGTGCTGTATGCGGCTGCAGCCGTCTCACCTGTTTCCCCACAAAGGGAATTTCTCACTCTGGTTGGAAGCACAAACACTGAAATGTCTACGTTTCATTTTGGCAGTAGGGTGTGAAGCTGGGAGCAGATCATGTATTTCCCGGAGACGTGGGACCTTGCTGGCATGTCTCCTTCACAATCAGGCGTGGGAATATCTGGCTTAGGACTGTTTCTCTCTAAGACACCATTGTTTTCCCTTATTTTAAAAGTGATTTTTTTAAGGACAGAACTTCTTCCAAAAGAGAGGGATGGCTTTCCCAGAAGACACTCCTGGCCATCTGTGGATTTGTCTGTGCACCTATTGGCTCTTCTAGCTGACTCTTCTGGTTGGGCTTAGAGTCTGCCTGTTTCTGCTAGCTCCGTGTTTAGTCCACTTGGGTCATCAGCTCTGCCAAGCTGAGCCTGGCCAAGCTAGGTGGACAGACCCTTGCAGTGATGTCCGTTTGTCCAGATTCTGCCAGTCATCACTGGACACGTCTCCTCGCAGCTGCCCTAGCAAGGGGAGACATTGTGGTAGCTATCAGACATGGACAGAAACTGACTTAGTGCTCACAAGCCCCTACACCTTCTGGGCTGAAGATCACCCAGCTGTGTTCAGAATTTTCTTACTGTGCTTAGGACTGCACGCAAGTGAGCAGACACCACCGACTTCCTTTCTGCGTCACCAGTGTCGTCAGCAGAGAGAGGACAGCACAGGCTCAAGGTTGGTAGTGAAGTCAGGTTCGGGGTGCATGGGCTGTGGTGGTGTTGATCAGTTGCTCCAGTGTTTGAAATAAGAAGACTCATGTTTATGTCTGGAATAAGTTCTGTTTGTGCTGACAGGTGGCCTAGGTCCTGGAGATGAGCACCCTCTCTCTGGCCTTTAGGGAGTCCCCTCTTAGGACAGGCACTGCCCAGCAGCAAGGGCAGCAGAGTTGGGTGCTAAGATCCTGAGGAGCTCGAGGTTTCGAGCTGGCTTTAGACATTGGTGGGACCAAGGATGTTTTGCAGGATGCCCTGATCCTAAGAAGGGGGCCTGGGGGTGCGTGCAGCCTGTCGGGGAGACCCCACTCTGACAGTGGGCACACGGCAGCCTGCAAAGCACAGGGCCACCGCCACAGCCCGGCAGAGGGGCACACTCTGGAGACCTTGCTGGCAGTGCTAGCCAGGAAACAGAGTGACCAAGGGACAAGAAGGGACTTGCCTAAAGCCACCCAGCAACTCAGCAGCAGAACCAAGATGGGCCCCAGGCTCCTCCATATGGCCCAGGGCTTACCACCCTATCACACGTGGCCTTGTCTAGACCCAGTCCTGAGCAGGGGAGAGGCTCTTGAGACCTGATGCCCTCCTACCCACATGGTTCTCCCACTGCCCTGTCTGCTCTGCTGCTACAGAGGGGCAGGGCCTCCCCCAGCCCACGCTTAGGAATGCTTGGCCTCTGGCAGGCAGGCAGCTGTACCCAAGCTGGTGGGCAGGGGGCTGGAAGGCACCAGGCCTCAGGAGGAGCCCCATAGTCCCGCCTGCAGCCTGTAACCATCGGCTGGGCCCTGCAAGGCCCACACTCACGCCCTGTGGGTGATGGTCACGGTGGGTGGGTGGGGGCTGACCCCAGCTTCCAGGGGACTGTCACTGTGGACGCCAAAATGGCATAACTGAGATAAGGTGAATAAGTGACAAATAAAGCCAGTTTTTTACAAGGTACTTGATCATGTTCTCTTGATTTTAAATTAGATTTTATTCCCAAAAAGGCCAGTGAGGCGCAAAGCTTGGTTGCAGCTTTGTGTGTGTCAAAGGCTTGGTTGGGGCACTCAGGCATTTTGCCTGGAAAAGTTCCCTTCTGATGGTCATGTCAACCTGGTGCTCACATTTGTGATAAAGTGATATGGGTGCTGGGCCACATGTGGAGCTGCTGCAGGGCTCTGCCCGTGAGGCAGAGTGCACTGGCTGTCCCGTGAGAATGCAGAGGCCTCCGCTGAGCCAGGGCGCCTGCCACCCCGTGGAAGAGTGGGAACCTTCTAGCAGGAGCCTAGGGCCCCATAACTCGAAGCCCTTTGAGCCTCAGCTCCAGTACCCAGCTGGTGATTGGAGAAGTCTTAACTTGGTTGTGAGGCTGGCCTCAGACCCGACCTGTAGCCAAGCCAGAAGGACCCAGTGTTGTGTGGGTGGGAGTGGCAGGCTTGTGGCTGCTCCCTTAGAACGTGTCTAGAAGTCTTTCTGTTTCTACACCAAGCCCCCAGTGGTAGGCCACATTTCCACTCTCCCCAGTCCTGGACAGGGCCTCACCCCAAACCTGCCGCCGTCCCCACCACCTGGGCCTGGTGCTTCCTCAGGAACTTGAGGGGCAGGTGGGTGGGCAACCCCAGGGCAGGCCTGACCAGGGCTGTGGGAGGTCGTTACTCCTTAGCTGGGCTCCAGCCTCAGTATTTCCTTGTAGTCTTAGACCTTGTCTTGGAAACTGATTTCCAAGGGGAGTTGGGTCAGAGCAGGATGGTTCCTCTGAGACCACCTGATGGACAGGTGTGGGCCTGGCCTTGCAGAAGCCACACCTCAGCACTGTGTTTTGAGACTGCTAGGACACATGTGCAGCCAGGTCTGCCCCGCGCTCCCTCTGCACCTGCTGGCCTCAGGGCTCAGGGAGGCCCTGGACAGGAGCACAGCACGTGGCCTCAGGCTCCAGACCAGCCAGGCGCTGTGAATTGCTGAGGCAGGCAGGGTGCTTGCCAGTATAAATATGTTAGAAAACCTGCTGCCCCAGGGAAGCAGTAGGCCATCTCTCGTGCCTCAGGTATTCGTTTGCACCTGTGGCCGTGGCCCCTCTTGCCTGAGAGCAAACGGAGCCCACATTCCAGCAGCCACGCACGCTTCAAGATGGCAGGCCCTGGTGTCTCTCCACCTGGCTCCTCCCCATGCACAGGGAACTAATGCACAGTGATGGGGGGGTAAGGCTTACTCTGCTTTTTCCCTTGGGGCAGGCACTGTCCCAGCCACTTCCTACATGTGCTCTCACTTCACCCCACTAGAGGCCCAGGAGGAAACAAGTCCGTCCATTTTACAGGTGAAGAAACTGAGGCCCAGGGAAATAGAGTGTGGCCAAAAGTCACTTAGCTCCCGAGCCAGGACAAAAAGCCTAAGGCTCACTTCCTACTCCAAGTCCCTGTCTGGCTGCTGGTCCTGCCTGCAGGTACTTCTGCTAGGGACGTAGCTGGGGCAAGGAATGAGGAGTCTAGGGAAACAGGCCCCACCCCCGGAGCTTCCCCTTGCTGCCCTTGGCTCAGGGGCAGCACCCGCTTCAACTGGCACTCCGCTCCATCCATGGTGCTGCTTTACCACTGCCTCCCTGGACCTGCTGATGCCCTACCCCATACCCCGCCCCCAGCCTGCTCCTGCTGAAGCCAGGCCAGCATGAAGTCCTCAGGAAGGCTGGGATGAGCCTCCCATCTCATTTCTGAGGGGTCTGAGCCCCATGGCCTGGGGAAGAGCAACGGATTCCTGATGAGGGCCAGGGGATGGGCATGTGGCACTGTCCGAGAGTCAGCAAAAGCCCCAACCTGAGCTTCAGCACCTACCAATGCCTGGTTCTGGAGAGCCAGGTGTGCCCCTAAGTGGTAGTGCCCACCTCACTCCCCTGCCCCAATCCCTTCTAGGGCCACATTACCCACTCCTTTCCACTCAGCAAACATTATTGAGCCTCATGGGGAAATGGAACAGAAGGTGCCTCTCCTCTTAAAAGCTCATGCCCCAGCAGTAAGGGTTCTGCAGTGTCTGTCAAACCTGTGGGCCTTGTTCCCTCTGCTGTCTGCCTGACAAGCTCCTGTTCATCCTTCAAAGCACAGCTCAATAAGGCTAGAAACATCTAAATGCCCATCGGAGGGGGCTGAATAAATTACAGCAGCTCCTCCCTGTGGAAAGGAACTAGGAGGACATTCTTTATATGTTGAGTTAGAAGAATCTCCAAGATATGCTGTCAAGGAAGAATACAGAAAGCAAGAAACAATAGCGTATGCTACCATTTGTGTTTAAAAGGGGGGTAGGAAGTGACTAATAGACTACATCAGGAAAAGGTGTAGCAATTTCCCATAAAACTAGACATACACTTACCCTACACCCAGCTATTCTACTCCTGGGTATTGAAACCCAAGATGAAAATATATGCCTATACAAAGACTTGTACAAGAATGTTCATAATAGCTGAAAAATAGGGAACAGCCTAGGTGGCCATCAACAGGCAAATGGATACATGTGGTGGATCCACAGGGTGGCATTTTACCCAGCAATAAAAAATAAACTATCCATACACACAACATTCAGGAGCTCAAAAGCTAAGTGAAAGAAACAAGTCATGTTGTATGATGCCATTTACATGAAATTCTAGAGCAGGAAAACCTAATCTATTGCAAAAAAAAAAAAAATTCTAACAGTGGTTGCCTCTAGTGTGTTAGAGATTGGCACAAGGAACTTTCTGGGCAATAGTAATATCCTTCACTGGGATTTGGGTTTCATTAGTCAGAACTCATGGAGTGCTCCACTTAGGATTTGTACATTTCACTGTATTTTTAACGTTTAAAAATAACCATAAGCAGCCGGGCACAGTGGCTCATGCCTGTAATTCTGGCACTGTGGGAGGCCAAAGCAGGTGGATCACCTGAGGTCAGGAGTTCAAGACCAGCCTGACCAACATGGAGAAACCCCATCTCTACTAAAAACACAAAATTAGCTGGGTGTGGTGGCATGCGCTTATAATCCCAGCTACTTGGGAGGCTGAGGCAGGAGAATCACTTGAACCCGGGAGGCGGTGGTTGCAGTAAGCTGAGATGGCGCCATTGCATTCCAGCCTGGGCAACAGGAGCGAAACTCCGTCTCAAAAAAAAAAAAAAAAAAAAAAACTTAAAAAACCATAATCAAGTACTGAACTCTAGATAATTATACACATGCTTAACTATTTACAGAGGTTGTTGTATCTGCAACTCACTTTGAAATGCACAGAAGACTGACAAGACTGACTGGCAGGCAGACAGGGGGATGGGCAGTGCAGTGCCTAGATGACAGGGATATGGGGGCTCACCTGCAATCCTTTTTTTTTATTCCCCCAAAGGGGGTGCACTATTCCTGGAGGTACTGCAATACCAGGTGGATGCATGGAGTGGAAAGAGCAAGGTCCTATTCCATCTCCCTGCTCCAAAAATCCATTTAACATACTGTCCTCAGATAGCAGATATTAAAGTGATAAGAACACTACACTTGATCTTAGCCAAAGGCTGAGAGGCGATTGCCTGTAATTCTTGCAGTTTTCCATGTGATATGTTTCATAATGAGTGTTGGGAAGGTCCTGTGAGTGTGTGCTGCCTCACCCAGGTCCTGGCCATCTCTAGAGGAACACACCGGTGTAAGGCAGGCGCTTCCGGAAAGGGAACAGGAGGCAGGGGGCAGGTGTCGAGGTAGGTTTTCACGGTACACGCCTTTGGCAATTTTGCATCAAAAAACTAAGTGTATGCACATTTTTTTTAATTGAAAGCCCAACTCAGCCTTCCCCCACTGCTCCTTCCCCGCATGCACGGGGGGACACACGCCTTCCTCCCTGCCTGCCGGGACTTCAACCTCGCTTGCTGGGAAGTCGCGCACTTTCGTCGCGACTTCCCAAGTCGTGCTGGGTGTGACTTGGAATCTCGGATCCCTGGGCTAGGCCTGGCCACGCCCCCATGGGGGGAGGGGCAGCGCGGCGGGGGCGGAGCCTGGGCCCGAAACGCCACGGGCGCGACTCTGTGCGCGTCCGCCCACACGGGGGCGCTGTGTCCTCGCAAGCTCCCGCGGGGTGCCTCGCGGCCCTGGAACGCTGTGGTTTTCGAGGGGAAAAGTGAGAGTGGCTGGTCCTGCCTCCGCTGCCGCTTGGCCCTGAGATCCCCACTGCCCACGGGATAGGCCCCAGTCCACCCAGCCGGGGCCCCCCCCTTCCCCTCGTCTCGCTCTCCTTGGCAGTTCGGACTTCGGGTCAGTCCCACACTCGCGCCCGGCTGTCCCTGCTGCGCTCCTGTCACTGGCATTGGGAAGCCCTCCGGCCCCCTCTCTGCACACCTGGCACACGGCTCCTCCCTGGCGGCATGTGGGTATTTGGGTTGGGCGAGCCTCTCCCTCCCGATTCCCGAGTTCCGAGTGGGTCCCGGCGGACCAGCGCTATTCTGGAGGGGCAGTGCCTCAGAGGCAGGTCGCTTCGAGTGGGGATTTGTGCGCTCTGGCGCGGAGGAGGGGGGTGGGAAGCCGGCTCTTGCCCTCCTCACCCGGTGGGGAGCGAGCAGGGCCAACGGTGCGCTGAGAGCGCTCAGGGCGTCCCCAACAGCATGACCCGACCCAGGGACGAAGCTCTGGGGGACGGGACCACTTGCGATGACAGCTAAAGGAGCACAGGGGGGCGGCCGGCATGGAGAGGCGGGGCCGGCATTCCTGCGGGCCTGCCGGGAGGGTGGGGAACCTGGGATTTAGCCATGGGACCTGTGGAAGGGTTTTGGGTCGGGGTCCTGACCGTCTAGTCTGGGTTCTCAAAGATGGTTGGGACAGTGGGCAGGCTTGCAAAGACCGAAGAGGCTGGTGGACCTGGTGGCTGAGGCCTAGGCCAGGCAGGGATCGCGGTGGGGAGGTCACAGTAGGTGTGGTCCCTCCTCCCCCCACCCCTCAGGCCTAAGTCACTCAGGCCCTTGTGTCACGGTGGCACCGGGACCTCCACCCACTACATACACACGCGCGCGCGCAGCCCCGTGAAAACCTGCGCCGTGTGCCCCAGACCTGCAGCCCGCATCCCGCCGTGTCCCCCGTTCCCTGCATGCGGCTCCAGTGTAAGTGCAGCGTGCCGTGTGCGGCGTCCCAGCCCGCACCCCGCACCCCACCATGTCCCTCTGGGTGCGGGGTCCGCATGCCCGCGCCCTCCCCGCAGCTGCCGGCGTCCCCATTAATCACGCGGCGCTGACGGCGCTGATCTGCGTGCTGGCGGCGTGACGGTGACGGTGACGGCGGGTGACGGAGCGGGCAATCGGCAGGCGCCCATCGGCCCATCTTATCGCGGCGGCCCAGCCGCCGCCCGCTGCGCGCCGCCCATTGATCGCGCCGGGCCCCTGCCCGGGGGTCAGCGCGGGCCGGGCCGGCCTGACAGCCGCATCCGTCGCCGAGACGCGCGCTGATGGCCGCCCAGCCCGCACGGCCTGGCCATTAATCACCGTGCCTGCCGCCAAGTGACGGGAGGGGCGGCAGGGCAGCAGGGGACGACAGGCAGCCCCCGTGGCCGGCCCACCCCTTCACAGTTCCGGGGCCCTGCTGCGTGGCCCGCCCTGCACCCTAAGCTCCCCAGCCCCCCTGCCCAGGCCTCCCTCACCCCCTATCCTCTTATGGCCTGCTCTCCCCAGAACAAATGGAAGGGGAGTGGCTGCATACTGGAGGAAGCAAGAAAGAGGAACTTCTGTGTGGAGAATGAATGGATGACCACGGATGAAGGGGGTGAACACTGTTCTACCTCCCGAGGGACCTCTTTCCCAGACACCAAATGAGAGCAGGTCTGACCTGACAAACACCAGCACTGGCTGGGACAAGGGGGTGGTCATTTCGCCCCCTCTGGCTGCCTCAGCCCTAGCTGAGCCTCACCCAGGATGGGATGCTAGGGCCCCAGTGAGAAGCAGTGCGTTGTTTCTGGCAGTTGCCCCGTGCTACCCCCTCTGCTCTTGGGCTGTGTGGCCCTGAGCCAGTGCTGGCCCCTCTGGGCTACAGGGCTTTTTCCAAACACAGGGGGATCCTAAGGGTCCTTCCAAGTGCCAGCTGTCTGCGATAGGGAGGGGCAGGGCCTAGCAGGCTGCTTCCTCCAGTTTGACAAACTGTGACCTCTTTCCAAGTGGGCCAGGAATCAGGAACTCTTTACTGCCTCTTAGTCTCTTGGGTACCTGATACAGCTACATGTGGGTCACTTCACCAAGTCCTCACATGGGTCTATGGGATATGAACTTCCCACTCACACACCAGGAAACCAAAGACTCATGGGGCTAGGACCAAGGGCCACACAGAGGAGGAAAATGCAATCAATACCATGCCCTGCTGAGCCCCAGAACCCCTGGGTCCCCTCCCACTGCTCCTCTGCCCACAGCCCTCCAGAGCAGGGCCTTCTTGGGGTACCCCAGCTGCTCTGCCCAGGGCTGGCCAGTTTCTGAGGGATAGAGGTCGACTGGGAGTGCAACCCCAGCCCCCTTCTGTACCCCCATTTTATTACACAAATGGCTAAGGTTTGCTAACCAAGAAGTCACTCTCTGGTGTGACAGCATGATTCATTTAGTCCTAAAAAACAAACTATCCTACCAATCAATCTGGCAGGTGCAACCCTAAGACATGTGGCAGTAAGAAGGTATCTGCACTGAGAAAATGAGGCAGGGCACAAGGTGGTTTCCCTGCCAGGGCCAGGGACGCGTCTTTCAAGAGCCCTTCCCAGTCTCACAAGTATCTCTGGGGCCATTAGCACAGGAGACAGGGCGCTGGGATTTATGTGAAAATTCCTCCCTCCCTCTCCTCAGCCACCCAATCAGCTCCCTGGGTGGCACCCAAGAGAGCCTGCGCTGAGAGCCTGGAATATTCAACCACTTCCGATGACCAGCCCCCACCCTGCCTCACTTTAATATTACAACAATTTTTCACACTGGAGCTGAAATAGTGCAAAAAATGAGGCTGCTGTAATTGTTGTTAGATTGTGTGTCAGCCTGATAAGATGTAACAAATATTTTCCTCCCCACCAGGGTCTGTTTCCCTCTTAGTAATGGATGGAGAAACTTCTCATAGTTGGTGAGGGATCAGTCGTAAAAACTTCGCCCGGAAGATTAATGTAATAATCACAGGCCTTGCTGGAAAAAATAGGAGGAAAATTAAAATAATCCCACCTTCCTACCTATCCAGAACCATCTCCCTCACTTTGGAGCACAGACCAGCGAACTGGGCCATCTCTCTGGGTACCACCTCAGCTAGGATATTTGAGGGGCAGGAACCAGGGGTCTGTGGCCTAGGAAGAGCAAGACCACGGTCCCCTCCTCACCTGGCTGATCTGGATATTGGTACCTTGGGCAGCCGAAGAAGACTCTGTCCCCACCCGCGGCTGTGAGATCTGCTGTCAGCGCCACTTCCATCTTGCTCCTTAAACAGCATGAAAGGCTTGGAGCCCAAGTGAGAGGCCCAGCCAGGGCAGAGGCCTGGTTCTGGTCCTCTAGGTGGGTCACCTTCCCCACACCGGACCCCGCTTCCTTCACCTGGCTGGTACAAAGGTCAGATCTTGACAGCTCCTAGCTGCTGCTAAATGCCAACACAGAAGGAGGCAGTATGGCCCCCAGGAGTTAGGAACACAGGTTCCAAGCAGCCTGATTTCAAATCCTGGTTCCATCTCTCACTAGCTGGCCAAGGGACTTGCCTCCTCTGTGGAAGTGGTCTTGGAAGTGGGCTAGCACACCTATCCCAGTCTCACAGGCTACTGTGAAGGCAACATGGAACGCAGAGTGTGAACACAGTCCCTGGTGCAATAAGCTCTTGCTGCATCTCTCTTCTGTTTGTCTAACATGGCTCGAGTGGGGAGGCTAAAGACAAGCGCAGCCTCAGAGGACACTGGCAGCCGGCATGGGCCACATGCACAGCTGACTTCATGAAGGGTCCCACCACCACTGCTGTGCATGCCAGTGTCTCCTCAGGGGCCAGGCCGAGGGAGAAGATTCACTCTGGCAGCAGGGACGGCTGGGGCCTCTCAGGCTAGATGGAATCCCCAGCATCATCTCCGCCCCCTCCCACTGTCCCCTTGACATGACTACAGGGGACTGTCCCTAATGGAAGGACAATGCTGCTTGCCCCACAAGGAGCTCATAGTTAGTCTGAACTAAAGCACTGGACCAAGATGACCATCCTAGTCAGCCCTGCCTCCCATATCATTACAGCACGGAGATCCAGTCTGAACTAGCACAAGGAGCAAGTGCTGGGAACAGCGTCCGGGTACTTAGCCCCACCTCAGGCACCACGGAGCCAGCAGGGAAGGACAGGCCTGGCAAGGGCAAGAACGCAGCTCTCATCCTACTGGGAAGGCACATTCCAGTAAGGTGCACTGCCCAGTGCTGCACTTGCCCTTGCTGCTTACTTAGTGGGCGAACGCAGAGATTCGGCCAGAGAGATAGGGACACTTCAGAGGGACACTTCAGAGATAGGGACACACGAGCCAACTGACAAGAGCTCTCACTGGCCAAAGCTGGCTCAATTTGAGCAACAAAATAAATCTACTAAAGTATACAATGAACTTCCGTAAGTCCATTCTGATACAATCTTCCATGCAGAATCCCAAATAATTTTGGTAAATACTCAGTTCTCTAGAGGTGAGCATAACCCCTGCCACTTAAGTGTGGGCTGCATATAGTGACTTCCTTCCAAAGAATTCAGTATGGAAAGGCAGCAGAGAGTAACTTTACAGTGAGAAGACCCGACAAACATGACCTCAGCCAAAGGGTCAAGCTCACCATCAACGATGAGTCATGTTGCTAGCATGTGATGAGAACCACACATGATACGATGTGATCAGAACCACATTTCACCTCTAGTCTTCCTCTCCATAACCCACAATCCCAGTCTACTCATGAGAAAAGCATCAGACAAACCCCAACTGAGGGATGTTCTACAGATACCTGATCAGTCCTCCTCAAAACTGTCAGGGTCATCAAGAACAAGGAAAATCTAAGAAGATGTCACAGCCAAGAGGCATCTAAGGAGACATGACAACTAGTTGTAATGGGTTATCCTGGATGGGATCCTGGGACAGAAAAAGGACATTAGGTAAAACTGAGAAAATGTGAACGCAGTAGAATAATGCATCAGTATTGGTCATTCACGGTGACAAATGTGCTATCTGATGTAACACGTTAACAAGAAGGGAAACTGGGTACAAGATACATGGGAACTCCCTATTGTATGTTCACAATGACTCTGTACATCTAAAACTGTTCTGAAAAGTTTATTTTTAAAAAACTTAGAGAGAGAGAGAGAGAGAATCAAAATAACCTATGAAGATTTATAGAAAACACACCAGGTAAGGAAGGGTTCTTTCAAAGCAACCACAGGAACAGTTACGATAACTTAAAAAGAAATGCTTTCCACACTGAACTGACAGCGCTGCAGACCACGCCTGAGTGGGGACGGCAGCCCCAAGCCCAGGGGCAAGCGCCCACAGGCTGGACCCAGGCCAGGCACACCTGGGGAGTCTCTTACTGCTGAAAACCTCAGCCATCTCACTTCATGTACTTATCCTGCTGGTCAGCCAGGATTTTGGCGGAGGACTTGGCATCATAGAAAAGTTCACTGATCTCTTCGACATGCTCTTTCTCAATGCTGTCCTTCCCGTTGATTTTAGCAAGCAAGTTGGCCGGGGTCAGCAGCTGCACTGAGTACCTAGAGTGGACAGGGGCCAGGGCTGGAGTGAAACTGGGGCCACCGAAGAAAGCACCTTCCCCCCACATCAGTAGGCAGCACTGGCACCAGGAGCAGAGCCCAGTGCTGGGCTTGTGCCAGCTGCTACGAACACAGAAAAGGGGAGACAAAGTTGTCACTTCTCAGAGAGCTGCAGTCATTATCCCATCAGAGAGGGTCCAGGAGCCACCAAGAAGACATAAGTGCTATTCCCCAAATCTTTAGTACAGTCTACAAATCCTCCAGTAGGAAGTAATGTCACTGCTACTGGAAAAGGACTGCAAACTTATATGTATACAGGTGTCCGACAGATAGGGATATTTAACATGGCAGGGAAATGAAAACATAGCCAGCTGGAAGTACATGCCCATCCAAAGGCATGAAGACTCTGCCGTTTTAAAAAGTACCCCTTCATCCAAACCTCACAGCTTGCATTTCTGCCTTCAACCTCAGGAGCAAGAACTGACTCAAGGGATGTAGGGAAGGGCTGAGGACTGTGAAGCAATGATTTTACAATGAGTCAGGCCACTGTGAAGGGACATGCTCTGCCGGTCCTGTGTTTGAGCCGCTGGAGAACAATTAGGAGAACTGTCTATGTCTGCGCTCCTCCCTGGCTCTCCATATCCACCACCCAGACATTTTTTATTTGCTTGATGGTTAAATAAATCAAAAAAGTTAAAGATTTACCAGGCCTCATAACACCACCGGGAGAACAGGAGCCAGGGCCCTGGCTAATGAGCTACCACATGGTCCCTGCTCTCTAGTTCTGTGCATCTTCTCTGCCACAAGAAGGCCCAGGGTCAAAGCACTCTCCACCAGAGGGGAGCATCTGCTGCAGGACATGGGGACTTCACCCTTACTCTAGCTTGTTAAAAACCATCAGATAGATCCTCTGCATTTGAAACTCAAGTGCCCTGGCACCCATCGCGCCAGGAAGAGCGGATGGATAGAGTCCCATGCCCTAGGAAGGGACCTGCCTTTATTGTCCAGAATGACCCCAGCGAGGGCCCTGGCTGTGCTGGGGAGGCCCCGGCGGGCCCAGGGTACCAGCTCACCTCAGTGTGGTCTTGGTGCCAATCTCCCCCAGGTGGTTCAGTGCCTCCTCACTGATGTTGATTCCTTCCGTCTGGGCACGGATTTTAATGATCTTTTAAAGGATAAAAAACATGATCAACGGTGACTGACCTCAAGTGCCCCATTTCTAAAGTGCTTTAAAGACAATGTTGCTCAGATTTCTCACTGTGCAGCATAAGAGAAACTGAGACCTGGGTTGGTGGGCAGGGAGCCAACGCCTGCCCAGCACTGCCGGCCCGGCACCCTCCAGGAGGCATGTGCGGCCCTGCAGTATGCATGAATAGCATCACGGCCAGTGTGCTGTATTCAACTGACTCAAGTGTGGCTGGTGCCCAAGGAGGTATGCAGCTTCCCAAGTGGCTCACTCTTGCCTCCATGTCCTCCCGTCCCCTGTCCCCAGGCAGAGAACTGGGGCCTCTTCTAACCTACCCGGGGCTCCTGCAAGGGCTCTAACCTTCCTCTCCAGCATGGGCACTACTGCCTACAAGCACTCAGGCAAGAAGGGACATTTTTTATTTGCTTGATAAATATGATGGTTAAATAAATCAAAACAGTTACTTTTAAAGATTTACCAGGCCTCATAACATCACCGGGAGATATCTAATCTATCAAGAAGAGGCTGACGCTTGTTGCAGTTTGAAGATCTTGGTAGAGTTGGAGGGGAGGCAGGCTGGCGGCGGGGATGCTGTAACACGGTGGACCAGGATCCTGCAGGCGTACCAGCACTGAGTGATAAGGGGCAGCCAGGATAATGATGTTGTGTGTTGTGGAGCTGAGATAACTGCAGGACTTCGAGCCGCATATAATACAGGAATTTTTCACTTTGGCAGCTTCGTAAACAAGATATCAAGAAGCCCTTGTTGAAATTAAAGCCATAAAAGCACACCCAGTGTAGAGGCACAGGAGCTGGGAAAGACTGAGTCCCAGCTTCAGCCTTCCAGGAGGGAGGAGAGCCAGAGGTTTACTGAGGTGGCCACATCAAGCCTCGCCTGTCAGCTCTCCAGGCTGGGACCCTGCGGGCAGGAGCTGCAGGGGGAGCCCAGTCTCTGATGATCGCGGTTGGGCTTGGGGGACAGCACATTGGCTGCCCACAGATGGGAAAGGCCTTGGAAAGCCCCAGCAGGACAGAGCGGCTGCGATGAGCCAGGTGAGGGTGAAATGCTTGGCCAGCAAACACCCTGGGGAGGCAGCCCCTCCACCCGCGGCCACCACTGCTGCAAGGTGTTGTCTGCAGTCTTCCCTTTTCTCAAGACAGGCTCAGAACTCAGATCCTTGTACGAAACGTCCTGATTTTGGCAGGACACAATGGCTCACGCCTGTAATCCCAGCACTTTGGGAGGCGGAGGCAGGTGGATCACCTGAGGTCTGGAGTTTAAGACCAGCCTGACCAACATGGCGAAACCCCATCTCTACTAAAAAGACAAAAATTAGGTGGGTGTGGTGGCACATGCCTGTAATCCCAGCTACTCAGGAGGCTGAGGCAGGAGAATTGCTTGAACCCGGGAGGCGGAGGTTGCAGTGAGCTGAGATTGGGCCGTTGCACTCCAGCCTGGGCAACAAGAGAGAAACTCCATCTCAAAAAAAGAAAGAAAGAAAGAAATGTCCTGATGTCTAGATGTCAGCAACTTGTTCAAACATTTCACAAACACTGCATAGGCCACATGAAACGTATCTGCTGGGCTCATGGGTGAACTGCCAGGGTGTGAGCTCCACTGAAACAATCTTAGCTTATGCAGGAGGGGCTTCACTGTCTGAAATCCAAAGCTAAATGCAGCTGGGCAAAAAGGGGCCCTCTGAAGTTACTGGATGGTACAAGGACAACCAAGAAAAGGAGCTGGGAGGGACTCACAACAGAACTCCCCCCTGAACACAGCTTCAAGGTAAAAACGGCTTCTCACTCACAGCTGGGACTGAGGAAACCACCAGGTCTTGCCAAGAAAAATGTCCCCAGATGACCTTCTGAAACTCCAGGGAGATGTAAATATTGAATCCTGGAGCCTGGTCATAGGAGACAGCTTAAGCTAAGTGCCTCGCCTTCAGTGAGATGCACTGAATCTGTGGCTCAGCTTCCAGAATGTCAGGGACACTCTGCTCTCTCTCTCTCACTAGAGAGAGCAGCAGGTCAGAGCAATCGTGAAAGCGTCTGTCTCAGGCTGCTCGAAAATGGACAGTTCATAAATGAGATCTTTAATCATTTAATAACCTGCAGGGATAGTTTATGAGGGTGTCGGCTTGGATTGCAGAGTACACAAGTTACATTGAGTTTGTTTAAAAACCTAGCCCCAGGCTCCAGTAAAAATGCTGAGGTTATCGCCTGGGCCAGCGGGAACAAAGCCACGAGTCCTGAGAGAAAGCCTGAGGAGAGGCCCTCCTGACAGAGCCAAGACAGCCCCAGCCCAGAGTTGGCCTGGCAAGTCACTGTCCTAGAAGCACAGTACAGAACATTCCAGACTGTTTGGGCCAGGAGCTCTGGGTTCGAATGGCGGCAGCAAGGGTGAACTAGCTCTGAGTGGCAGTCCTGGCTCTGCTGCTTACTCTCCACATAGCCACAGGACCCTCGTTCTTGGAGCCTCCAACACTGGCTATTGCGAAGCTGTTGTATGTTGTACGTAGAGGACCCTAGAGGGTACCTATGAAGCACACAAAGCTATGAATACAGTAATAACAACAGCAATGGGAAGGATGGGAGGGCCCGTTATTGCCAATACCTCACAAATCCTAATGACAATCTTGCAAAGGAGGGAGGAGATGTTCCATTTAACAGAGAAGGTGAAGGCTCGGTGAGATGCACCAAATTGCTCAAGTCATTCAGTAGGCAAATGGTGTCTCTGGCCCTGAACACATCTGTGCTGGGCTGCCTTTTTTGGCAGGACACATGGGGTTTTGGACCCAACAGTAAGGTGCTATGTCCCGCAGTAAGAATGGGCCAGTTTTCCAAGAATTGCCTGGGACTGTTTCTGCTTCTGCCTCCGTTCAGTGAATGCCTTGGCTTCAACCTGGCAGTCACCCTTGCAAGTCACCTGGCAAGACACCCTTACGTGGCGATGAGGCCCCCGGCCATTGACACCATCTCCTAGGTAACATATACAATTGCTACTATGAACCATAACTGCTTCAGTAATTTGCCAATGCTGGTTACAAAGGGAGATCTGTGACTCTCCTGATGCATCCCCACAGCACTCCTGCATGCGGTAAGAGATGCTGGCAGGCCCAGGCTGGGCCTCCAGCCACAGGAGAGCAGCAGAAGTGCCAGGAAAGGCCCAGGAGAGGCCCTGACTGCTCCAAAGGAAAGGTCCTGCTCACAAACTGCCAGAGGAAAGCCACCTCATGAATCCTAATGACAATGAGATGAGAGATTTCTAGCAGGAGGGAAGCTGGGTGGCACGGTGATTAAGAACACGGGTTTCCGGATCAGAAAGCCTGGATTACAGCCAGTCCCATTACCTGCTAGCCACTGACTAATGTTATGAACTTGGGCGAATTAGTTACCCTAGGTCGCAGTGTCCTCATCTGTCTTTTTTTGAGACAGGGTCTCACTCTGCTGGAGTGCAGTGGCACCATCACAGCTCACTGCAGCCTCGACCTCCTGGGCTAAAGCGATCCTCTCACCTCAGCCTCCCAAGTAGCTGGGACTACAGGCACACACCACCACACCTGGCTAACTTTTTGATGTTTTGGTGAGTAGGGGTGTCACTATGTGGCCCAGGCTGGTCTCAAACTCCTGAGCTCAAGTGACCCTCCAGCCTCAGCCTCCCAAAGTACTGGGATTACAGGTGTGAGTCACCATGCCTGGGCAATGTCCTCATCTTTTAAAATGGCAATGACAGTAGTTCTCCCTGCCTCATGGGTTACTGGGGATCAAATGGAATCAAACTGGCCAGGCATGTCCTGCTCAACACGATGCTCAACAAAGATGCCATGCTCTGGTGAAAAGACAAGGTCCAGGCAAAGCGCATCGAGACGTCACTGCAGCCCCAGTCTGCTCAGCATCTCCAACCATGGCTGCATGCCAGAGCCCATCAGAAGAGAACATTTGGGGCAAAGGTGGGCAGGGCAGAGGAAAGAGCACAGCACATGCTGCCTCGGAGACACCAATTCAGGGTATGTACCACTGAAGATGGCCTGGGCTCTACAGGGCACTGCCTGGCTTTGCATCCTGCACTTACAGCTCCATGACTCAAATGTAAAAAATAAAATAGATGGTGATCACATGGAATACCTGGAAATACCATGAAGGTGACTAGAAATTCCTAGTCCAATGGTATTCCTATGCTTGGCACATAGTTGTGCTCTAGCTCCAAACCAAGCAAGAGGCAATT
Organism: Homo sapiens; assembly: GCF_000001405.40. Lineage (NCBI taxonomy): Eukaryota > Metazoa > Chordata > Mammalia > Primates > Hominidae > Homo > Homo sapiens. Next base: position 128,086,821 of record NC_000003.12, read on the forward strand.
CCTACAGGGACAACTGGGACTGTGGCCCTTTGGATAAAGCCCACGCTCATACATCCCTGTCGTCTCCCAACTCAGCCTAACCCAGATTCAGCTCACGCAGACTTCAGGGCATGCACGGTGTGCCAGCCACTGAGCTAGATGCTTCCAAGGGTCCTCCAATGAAGCCTCTTATTATATGATCAGTTTCACAAACTCCCTCCTTCAGGTGCTCTTCTAAGCTGTATGATGCTGTCTCGCCATCACCTCTGTGGACTTGGCAGAAGCCCTCAAGGACTCTATTGCAAAGCCACAGACCTGCCCAGGGGCGGCCTCCAAAGCTGCCGAGAAACTTGTCATGCTGTTTACAGCAGACAGGCTCTGCTAGGACACAAGCACTGGCCTCTTCCAGGTCAGGGTGGCTACATTCTGTACCCTGCTGGAGCTGGCTTGCTGTTGGTTCAGGTGGAACAGCGAGCCTGGCCTTGTCCTCTGAGTAGAAAAGGCCACAGGCATATTCTGGCCTGGTCACCAAAAGGCTATCACTAAATCATATTTTATTGCTTCCTTTTTATAGAGCTGGTAGCCTCCCTAATGGCTATCATCATGTTGATTTTTTCACTATCCTTTTCCTAAAGCTTATCAAAGGGGGAACAGCAGAAAAGCGAACAGCCAAGACAGGGAGCTGAGCTTCTGTTGACACTTGGGGCAATGTCTAGTTAGACCAATCCATCTTTCAGATGGGGAGACTGAGACTCTGGAGTAATGTGACTTGCTCGAGGCCAGTAGCTAAGTGGTGAGATGGTGAATGGCAGCCAGATCCAAGCCGCAGATACCTTTCTGCACAGCCACCAGTGAACACTGGGAGCAAATGAGAGAAGAGAGCAGGAGGGAAGAAGGGAGGCTCACCTGTTTCATTTCCTGTGGAGTATACAGCATGGTCCGGATTATCATCACTCGGTCCAGAAGGTCAAGAGGGATGCCGTGAGGGGATGTGATGTCCTCAGTGCCTCTGTAAGGGGCAAAATTAATCCCATCACCTAAGCCTCTGTTAGACAAGAAACGACACTGGAAATACAGATCCAACACTCACACCACAAGCAGCTGGCTAGGCAGCCTAAGAATCAGAGCCAGGACCAGAGTAAACAGACTAACCTCCAGTGGCATAAAAACAACTTCAGGCTAGGCGCAGTGGCTCACACCTGTAAATCCCAACACTTTGGGAGGCAGAGGCCTCCCAAAGATCACCTGAGGTCAGGAGTTCAAGAACGGCTGGCCAACATGTTGAAACCCCGTCTCTACTAAAAATACAAAAATTAGCTGGGCATGGTGGTGCACACCTGTAATCCCAGCTACTCAGGAGGCTGAGGCATGAGAATCACCTGAACTCGTGAGGCAGATGTTGCAGTGAGCTGAGAGTGTACCACTGCACTCCACCCTGGGTGACAGAGTGAGACTCTGTTCCAAAAAGAAAGAAAAAAAAAAACCAACTTATTTATCTTGGTAATCATCAATATCATAGCAAAACTGGGAAGGAGGAAAAAAATAACTAAAATCATACTCAAAAATAATCATCTAGATATTTGCCAAACATTCATATATAAACAAATTATATAGTATAATATACAGTATATACTATATTATAGTATATACTAATTATACTCTATAGTATAATATATAGTATATACTAATTATGCCCTATAGTATAATATATAGTGTATACTAATTATACTCTATAGTATAATTTTACAAATTATACTAAGTATGCAAGTTTTTTTTGTTTTTTTTCATGTTGCTTCAGTCTCCTTGTTTTGTTTTGTTTTTGAGACTGGGTCTTGTTCTGTGGCCCAGGCTGGAGTGCAGTGGCATGATTCTAGCTCACTGCAGCCCTGGACTCCTGGGCTCAAGGGCTCCTCCCACCTCAGCCTCCCGAGTAGCTTGGAGTACAGGCGTGAGCTACTGCACCTGGCTTGCAACAGTCTTAATAATTATGTTTAATATTTACTTAACAATCCATTAAATATTTTACTTAACCCAAATTGTTGAGCATTTAGGTAGTTTCCAATTGTTGCTATTATTTTTATTGATATTTTGATAATTTGATGCATACAGCCATAAGCATTTCCTTAGCAACTGTTGTAGTGCTTGACAGAACCCTGAATAGCTACTTGAATGAATAACTATCCTAATTTATAGAGCTACACATGAGTTATCTAATCTCACAGGATCATAGCACTACCGAGTATTCTCATTCTGAAATATTTTGCTATTTCAACAGTTTAGAAAAAGAGGGAAAGGTAACACCTTAAGTTTGCATTTCTTTGATTACTAATGAGGCATTTGAATGTATTCCCTTATATATATTATTTTACTTCTTTTTGAGAAGGGTCCAATCCCATCTTTTGCCTATTTTTCTCTTGAACCCTTAGCCAAGCCATAGGAATAACACCCCAGGGAGGAACCTTGCCAACCCACCAGACCCTGAGGTGCCCTGCGCAGCCACTGGTGGCACATGGGGCCAGCCTTCAGCTAGTGTTTGGAGGGCCCAAGTGCTGTAGGCTTCTGCCTTGGCCTCTGGGGGTCCTAACAGCAGAAAGGCTACACTTCTGGCATTCTTAAACTTGTGCAGGATTGTACAGTCTATGGTTATAAGTAATCAATATAACAAAGAATTAGTCATGTCAACTGGATTTGTTAGTATCTGAATATTTGGTTTCAAAAACAAGTAAGCATGCTAAAAATTTAACTTTAGTAAAAATAAAATCTACCTGTTTAAATTCTATCCAGTTGAGGTATAAAAATGCATATTTATGACTGCAAAAATAAAATGCAAACAAAATACATGCTAGCACAGGATGAACCCTGAAAACATGCAAAGTGAAATAAGTCACCGACAAAAGAACAAATATTTTCTGGTTTCTTTATAGGAAATATCTATAGTAGGCAAATTCATAGAGACAGAAATTAGCCAGGCCTGGTGGTGTATGCCTGTAATCCCAGCTACTCCGGAAGCTAAGGCATGAGAATCGCTTGAGCCCAGGAGGAAGAGGTTGCAGTGAGCCAAGACTATGCCACTGCACTCCAGCCTGGGTGACAGAGTGAGACCCTATCTCAAAAAAAAAAAAAAAAAAAAAAAAAAAAAAACACAGAAATAAATGAGACGTTACCAGGATCTAAGGGGAGGAAGGGTTGGGACTTCATGCTTAATGGTTACAGAGTTTCTGTTTTTGAGGTGATGAAAAAGTTTTGGAAATAGTGGTGATGGTTTTAGAAATAGTGGCGATGGTCATGCCACCCTGTGAATGTCATTAATGCCAATGAATTGTATGCTTAAAAATGGTTAAAATGGCAAATTTTATGTTACACACATTTTACCACAATAAAAACAATTCAAAAAGAGAATAAAATGCTACATTAATGAATTGTTAAATCTAATGTAAAAAAATTAAAATCAGCCGGGCGCAGTGGCTCACGCCTGTAATCCCAGCACTTTGGGAGGCCAAGGCGGGCAGATCACGAGGTCAGGAGATTGAGACCACGGTGAAACCCCGTCTCTACTAAAAATACAAAAAATTAGCCGGGCGTGGTGGCGGGCGCCTGTAGTCCCAGCTACTTGGGAGGCTGAGGCAGGAGAATGGCGTGAACCCGGGAGGCGGAGCTTGCAGTGTACCGAGATCGTGTCACTGCACTCCAGCCTGGGTGACAGAGTGAGACTCCGTCTCAAAACAAAAAAAAATTAAAATCTTCAAAGTAAATATGGAAACAAACTAATAGGAAATACAAGTATTAAGTTAACTTTAGAGAAAACTTATCTTTTTCCAGCAACGAATGTCTTTTTAAAATTAAGAAGAATTATAAAGATGAAATTCTATCATGATTCAAATCTCAGTATTTGGTGTGCCTGGAACCTTCACATTAAGCAAAATAACCTTTTAAAACTACATTTAATTTTTAGTTTTTTAATTCTATTTAGGCCATAAGTGTTTTTTAAGTCTTATTTGAGAATTCTTTTGGTAATTTTGAGGAAATCCTAAGATCTCAATTTTGCCACATTAAAATATCCCAAGGACAAAAATATCCAAAATTCTACACCACCCATGATAAATCACAACAAACATAAAAAGTTTAAAGAAGAAAAGGTTAGAGAAAAATAAAGTACTCCCAAATCAAACTTCACAAGAACAGAATTTATAGAAATGCATTAATAACATTTCTTATAGTTTTTAAAGTCTATTAAAAGGCTACCAAGTGGTAAAAAGGAATTTGAGGAGAAAAACAAAAGAAAAGGCTGCTGAGGACTGCTAAGCATTTTTCAGGAATTAAAGACCAAACATTTCTGAGATTTGTCCAAGCTATGAATCTGAAGTAGAAAGTTTCTTCTAGAAACCATATTAGTGGGAGACGGTTCTAGTCAGTGATGCTGCTGAGTGGGCTGGCTGAGTGGAGCCCTCATGTGCCAGCAGCGGTGCTAGGCCATGTGCTGACCTCAGCAGGAGCTGGGGGAACGGGGGGTGGGGAGGATCACAGTTTAACAAGGCAGCCATAATGGTAATGTTATAAAACTGCTAATAAGAAGCTGGATAATAATTACATTTTGGTCAATCTGCAGATTTATTCTTGCATCTTAGAAGTTCATTTCTGGCTTTGGCCTCAGTCTACTATTAATTTTAACATTTTACCATTCAGCAATTGTCCAAACTCGGCCATTAGTGAGCTTCCTCCAGATAGACAGTTTGGAGCTATGAAGCCACAGACCCAAATCTCCTTGGAATCCAATACAGCGTATCTATAAAAGCAAGACAAATATACTTCTGGAAAAGTATCCTATAGATATACCACCACATGTGCAACATGGCTGACTCATTTGTGACTACTTTCCTCTTACAATAACTGTGACACTGTGGATGTTTTGGACCAAATTAACTCTTTTTGAAGGGCTGTCCTATGCACTCCAGGATGTTCAGCAGCATCCTTGGCCTCTACCCACTAGATGCCAGCAGCACTTCTGAGTCATGTTAAGTAAAAATGTCTCCAGACATTGCTACATGTCCCCAGCGGAACAAATTTGCCCCTGGTTAAGAATCACTACATAAATGCTTCTTTATGTAATCCTGTAACTACAGGGACACGGATAACACAAAGCTTTTCTGCTGACAGAAAGCACAGTAAAAACACCTCTCTGGGTAATGTGATGGGTAACTCACCTAATATCCACTTAACCTTGGCTCAGTGGACACACAGTAAGAGTGCTAAAAAGACAGCCATTTGATTTTCTGATGAGGCTGCCAAAACAATTCAATAAAAAAAGAACAGTCTTTTCAACAAATGGTTCTGGGACAACTGGATATTCACATGCAAAATAATGAAGTTGGACCAACCCCTTACTTATGCCCTACATGAAAATTAACTACAAATGGATCATAAACCTATATATAAAAGCCGAAACTATAAAACTCTTAGGAGAAAACACAAGCATAAACATTTGTGATTTTAGATTAGGCAATGGGTTCTTAGATACGAAACCAGAAACACAAACAACAAAAGAAAAAACATAAATTGGACTTCACTGAAATTTAAAACTTCTGTGTGTCAAAAGACACTATCAAGAAACTGAAAAGACAATCCAAAGAATAGGATATTTATAAATCATATATAAATGATAAAGATCTAGTATCCAGAATATATAAAGAACTCTTACAATTCGACAACAGAAAGACAAAGAACCTGAATAAAAAATGGGCAAAGGATGTGAATAAACATTTCTCCAAAGACAATATACAAATGGCCAATAAGCACATGAAAAGACGCTCAACATCCTTAGTCGTTAAGGCAATGCAAATCAAAACCACAATGAGATATTACTTCATTACCCACTAGAATATCTATAATCAAAAAGACAGACAAGTGTTGGCAAGAATGTGGAGAAATTGGGACCTTCGTCCATTGCTGGTAGGAATGTCAAATGATGCAGCTGGCTTTGGAAAACAGCTGGCAGTTCCTTGAAAGGTTAAACAGTTACCACTGGACCCAGCAATTCCACTCCTAGGTACATAACCGAAAGAAATAAAAACCATGTCCACTTAAAAATGTTGTACATAGGCCAGGTGTGGTAGCTCACAGTAATCCTAGCAGTTTGGGAGGCTGAGGCAGGAGGATCCTTGGAGCCCAGGAGTTCAAGACCAGCCTGGTCAACAAAGTGAGACCCCATCTCTACTTTAAAAAAGAAAAAGAAAAAGAAAGAAAGAAAAAAAAAGTTGTACACAAATGTTCAGAGCACCATTATTCATAATAACCCAACAACCCAATGTCCATCAACTAATGAATGGTTAAATAAGATACACTATTAAATATTCCATATAATAGAATACTATTCAGCTGGAAAAAGAAATAAGTACTACGCATGCTACAGCATCATGCTAAGTGAAAGAAGCCAGTCACAAAAGACCAGATTATATGGTGCTATTTATACAAAATTTCCAGAAAAAGCAAATCTATAGAGACAAAATTGATTAATGGTTGCCAGTGGATGGGGGTAAGGGTGCAGAAGGGGACGATGACTATTGATGGGTATAGTTTCTTTTTGGGGTGATGAAAATGTTCTAAAATTGACCGTGGTGATGGTTGCACAACTCTGTGAATACACTAGAAATCACAAAAAAAAACTGTATTTTATATGAATTATGTCTCCATAAAGTTGGTTTTTTTTTTTGTTGGAACACTATCTGCCACAGGGTTACACTGAGCAGAGTCCATACTGTTTCTTAAGTCTTGATGTTTTGGTGCAACAAAGTGACTTTCAGTGAGAAACTCCTACAAGAACTCCTAATCCCAGGGAGCTATACCTCAATATGAAGAGAAAATCTCCCAGTTTTCAAGCTGGGATCAGTGCTGGGCTCTCATCTAACAGTTCAGGATCCTGAGCCTGGAAGGAAAGGGACTTCTTATGGTGGCAAGTTAGGGAGGAGCCAGGCAAGAAGGCAACAGAGCTTTGCCTCCCTGTCATCCATGGATGGACCCTTCCCAGAAGGAGCCTGGAGCATCAAGAGGACCAGGGACAGGTGCTTCTTCTAGAACGGCTCCCACATCAGCTGTCCACAGGGAGAGGTGACCTAAAGGACTTGGGGGCTGCTTGTCAAGGTCAGGAGGGGCTATGAAGAGGCTTCATGCCTTGCTGGGTTCTCAGAGATCCCTGAGGCCAAGCCATGTCCACAGAGCAGACCAGGCAGGGGCATGAAATCAGCTTCCAAGAGGGCAATACTCTAGGGCTGGCCTGGGTGATAACTTTGCACTCACTTTTTCTACTCTTCACATAATTCTGCAAAAAAGGTGCTGATATTCCCATTTCCTGATGAGGATGGTAAGATTCAGAGAGGTCAAGGAACTCGCCTGGGTCATGAGCTTCCACGTGACTCCAATGCCTGTAATTTTTCCATGTGGGAACCAGGCTTGTGCTGAAATGCATGCTCCATAAAACACAATGGCCATCAGAGAGTGGGCTCACTTCTGAGGCTCAATCCACAAGGGTCATTTACACAGGGAGGGGTGAGCGGCAAGAAGCCGAGAGGGAGCGTACACTACCTGGGAAAGAACACTCCTAGGAGGCTGCATTTTCACGGCAATCTGTTGTCAGCATCCAACAGTTCCCCACTGCCACCTCCAGGCAGCACCCCGTCAAAGCTCCATCCCCGCTCACAGCCCAGGGTCCACTGGGAAGCGGTGTGGGAGAGCAGTGAGAGCATGGAGTTTGGACCCAGACGTTCCTCTGGGCTCAGGTTCCAGTGGCAACACTTTCTAGCCTATGGCCTGGGCAGGTAACCTCCCATTTGAGTCTGGAGATAACCTCAACTGCTCACAGGGTTGTCAGGGTGTCCTGGGAGGACATGAGATGGCCCATGTAGAGTGCTCTGTATAGTTTCTGACACACAGGAAGCCCTCAGTTAGTCACCTCCCTTCCCCCTCTCTTTCCTTCGGAGCTCTAGAGATCAGATGTGGTTCTGGGGGGTAAGGAAGCCCTGTAGTTCCCCTCTAGGGGTGGAGTCTGTGGGAAGCATATCAGATGGCTATTATTGTTGGCTATTACTTTTTTCATTACCATGTTGACATTATTATCACCACTACAACAAATTTCCTACTAGAACATAGTGCCAAAATTCTCTTCCAAAGCAAACAACCGAATCTGCGTTACCTGAGCCGACCTGCCTAAAAATCCATGTTCTGAGTGTCTTCCTTCCACTTGAGTAACTACAGTCTAGCAAGGAGTCTCCACAACCTCTAGCAGCCCTTGATCAAATCAGCCCAGATGGGGCTGGGGCCAAATCTCCCGGGTCTCAGGCTGACCAGAGCTTTGTCTCCACTGAGCAGGTTCTGAGATCAAGGCCACCTTTCTGTGCACCTTAGTCCTGAGTGGGATGGGACTGAGAGACCTTACTTCTGAGACGAGAGATGCCAGGCTCTGCAGGTATGGGCTGGGCTGGGTTCCCTACTGTGGAGGGAGGGAAGCCTATTAGCAGAGCTCCCCAGCAGGGGGCACCATCTGTCCAAGGCTGAGCCCTTTCACCAACTGCACTGTCAGGCTTCAGCCTGGCCTAGCCAAGGCTAAGCAAGTCCAGACAGCCACAGGCATGCCAGGCATACCAGCCATAAGGCCCACATGCATCTGTCTCCAGAAGCTGCCCAAGTAGCCATGCTGGATCTGGCACACACTTTCTCTCCAAGACTTAGGAAGCACTTATGACAGTGGTCTTGTCTAGAGAGCATCACGGACGGGGATTCAGAGTAGCTACAAGATGCTGCCACATGGACTTGAATCACGCATTCGATTCCTAATTGCAAGTGAAAGAAACCGCCTGAGGGGGAAGGGCTGTTGCTATACTGCAGTGCTCACAGCACTACAGAACCCCCATTGTGGGGCTTACCCAGAGCCAGCAACACCAGAGTTTGCATGTTTTGTTTTTTTTTAATTATTTTTAGAGATGAGGTCTCACTGTTGTCCAGGTGGGAGTGCGATAGCTATTCACAGGTGCAATCATTGCACACTACAACCTTAAACTCCTAGCCTCAAGCAATCTTCCCGCCTCAGCCTCCCAGAGAGTACACTACAGGTGCATACCACTGTGCCCAGCTTGGACAGTCTTAATAATAAAGCTTCTCTATTAAAAGCAAACTAAAATCTTAGATAGGGCCCACCATCATTCAGAGCTGAGTTAGGCAAATCAGCAGTTTTTATTTCAAACTCAGTTTGGCTCCAGCTGTGTCCTGAGATACTCATGGGCCACAGGGTGTCTTTCTAACTCCCACTGCCTCCACTGCCCTGAGCATGCAGCCTCAGGGACTTTGTCCCCACACTACTCTATTGCAGGCTTGAAAACAGGCCCCTCATCACCCACCTTTGTGCCCCCAGCACTGCAGAGACCAGGCACTAATGTTTAAACAAGATCACAGAAAACCAAAAGAGCAATAAAACTACCAGGTACTGGGAATACTGACACTGGGCTTGAGAGATGGGAAGATGGGGTGTTCTCCAGGACCACGAGCGTGGAGAGTGCTTAGGAGAAAAAGCAACCGCAGGAAAGTTCCTGGCCCAGCTTTGGGCCAATCTTGGCAGGATGAGCACCGTATGAACACTTGTCTTCCAGGGGTCAACATCTGCCCTTCCCAAAGGCAGGCCAAAGGGATGGGAAAGAGTGGAGCGGGAGGATGGAAAGACACCAGTGTGGTTCAGAGGTCTGGGATAGAAAGAAAATGCTGGGGCCGGGCGTGGTGGTTCATGCCTGTAATCCCAGCACTTTGGGAGGCTGAGGCGGGCAGATCACGAGGTCAGGAGATCAAGACCATCTTGGCTAACACGGTGAAACCCTGTCTCTACTAAAAATACAAAAAAATTAGCCAGGCGTGGTGGTGGGCAACTGTAGTCCCAGCTACTCGGGAGGCTGAGGCAGGAGAATGGTGTGAACCCGGGAGGTGGAGCTTGCAGTGAGCCGAGATCGCGCCACTGCACTCCAGCCTGGGCGACACAGTGAGACTCTGTCCCCAAAAAAAAAAAGAAAGAAAATGCTGGTTTTGTTATCAGAAGGAGCTGGGTTCTTATCCTGTCTTTACGATGAGGGACAAGTTATGATTCCAGTTTCCTTATTTGAAAAATGACGCCAATAATGCCTACCTCTCAGAGCGCAGATGAAGACTGAAGACGTTCATGTGTATAATGTCATCAAAGGCTAGCCCTGTCTGATCTCACCTTTGTACACTCCAATTGAACGACCAAATTGTAGTATCACACCCAAAAGATCACGTGGGAGACCCTCCTCATGAGTGACAGGACAGCTGCTGCCTTTGGTGACTAGGGAAATGAGGCCAGAGGCAAGCCACTTGGCACATTTTCCCTCAAAAACAACATGACCTCCCCTCATCCCTGTCCCACCTCATGGGGTTTGGAGAGATCCTGAGGAACAAATGAGCCCAGATGGAAGTTAAAAAAGCCTTGTGGCTGGCAGGCAGCCATCCTACCTGATGACACAGTTGCCTCGGTTGGATGCAAAGATGACGATGGGAGCGATAGAAGACTCCAGGGCGCGGTGCAGGTAGGTGAAGCACTCAATGTCCAGCATGTGGACCTCATCAACAAACAGCACACCCGGGACCAGCTCAGCAATGCCCTGGTCGATGTACTTGTTCACCACCTTATTAATCTCCCCTCGAAGTTTGTCTAGGAGATGCAAGGATGGGCAGGCAAGGTCAGCACAGGGCTGGGGGAGACTATCGCCTTTTCTCCTCCACCTGAATTCAATCCAAACCCATGCTAGGAGCCTAGTTTTCCTACTAGCTATGTGATCCCAGACAGGGTGTGTCCCCACTCCAGGTTTCAGTGTCGTCATCTGAACACAGTGATAATCACACCTAAAAGGTCACAAAATTGGCAGCCTCCCCCAAAAGATGAGTTTGGTTAAATGTAAAAAGGTTGCACAGGTGTTCTGCATGGGAATCCCTTCACAGCACACGCTCACTGCTGTCACACTCCCTACCATGCCTTATCACTTCCCACATACCCAATCTAGCTCTGTCTGATCTGGGAGACATTGGAGTTTGGGAGCCCTGGGTGAAATGAGTTTTCACATGCAAATTTACCTGTTCTATACTCAGTAAATGACCCTTTCTTTTGGTCCCATACAACAATGCTTAGGTTAATTAACTTTCAATCAAGTGCCTGGACTAAGGAAGTGGGTGCTTTTAGAATCCTGAGCAGAAACCTTTGAGGAATGAAAGGCTCTGAAGAAAGGCCCAATCTCAGAGCTCCTAGAGGGATGAGTCTCTCAAAAGTTACATAACCCAGCTAAGGTCTCAGTGCTCATTTTCCAAACCAGCTCCTGTGTTATCATCAGGAGGGAGCAGCTCACAAATAGAAAACTGGAAGATCTGAGGCAGCGTCTTCCACCAAAGGCAAGAGGCGGGGATTGTCCAAAGAGGATGCACACCGAAAACCGTGTGAAAAGAAAGAAACTGCTTCTGACAACTCGAACAGAAAGGTCTCAGATTGCTGCCCTGGCTTAAACTTTAAAGACAATATTTGCTTTAATGTTTAACTAACATCTTAAGGTGACGAAACTGTAGGTGGAATTAGAAAAAAAACAGCAACAGGAAAGCTGGGAAGAGCAGCAGGTTAAATAAAGGTTCACAGGGGAGCAGCAGCAGTGTCCCCTGTGGAGCTCTGGGAAGTGCCCACAAACTGGGCAGGGCAGTATGTGGAGCTGGTCTGTGGAGCTGCCCTGTGCTCTACTAGGGAGGGGGCTGACAGCCCCAAGGCTCCAGAGCCTGTGCTCCAGCAGAGCTGGGCGACACAAATCCCTATTTCTGGGGCCTCATAGGGGCCAGAAACTGTGACTGCAGTGGGGCAGATAGCACACAGTGTGCTATATGGCTGCCTAAATGCCGCCAGAAACTTAGGCTAGAGTCAAGCTCTAAGCTATGAGGAAGAAAGAACTGTTCTGAGGCATTTCCTCAGGGCGACTGTGCTCACAGAGCCGCAAGAGCATCTCAGAATGTGGGGCCCTCCGCCCTGCCCCTTGCTCACAGGGCACACTGGTTCTCCTACCTGTGATTTCTGTCTTCTTTGGCTTCATTAGCTGGCCCATCATGGACAGGATATCTTGTCCCCCCTGCATAAGAGAAGACTTAGAGTCAGTGCTGCTTTCTAAGGTGACTACAGAAGCCTCATCCCCCTGCATCCCACTCATCAACTCAACATGGGATCCTGAGGTATGGAGACCCCTCCTCAAAGCCTGAGGAGCTTCTAAACACAGAGGAATTTTTAGAGGTTCCCCTAACCTGTAAGAATCAAACAAAATCCTTTCATGGCAAGTATAAGCTCCGTGGGGCCTGCCCAGCCTCCTTTTCCAGCCCTATCTTTTTCCAACCCCTTGTTCCTTGATTAGCCACACAAGACTACCAGCCCTGCCCTGGACACCCCCAAGCTTTTTTATGACTCAATGCTTTTGAGTCTATTCCATCTGCCAGGAATGCCATTCTCCTTCCTAGAAGTTCCCAGTCATTAAAGTTCACGTCAAATGCCCTCTAGGGCGCATCTGACCCTAACCGGACTCAGGACTTCCTCCAAATGTTCCTGTGCCTTTGGGGACACATGGACTATAAGAGTAAGTATAAAGAGCAAGTATAAATATACCATGATTATATTGCTGTGCCTCCTCTCACTAGATTTGACCACAG